>NC_000012.12:126492511-126794134 GCF_000001405.40 Homo sapiens
TATGTATACTCATTTTTATTTTAAAATATACCTGATTTATTTTGAAACATTAGTTTTCTTAAAACCCATTATTTTTGTGATTATGGACTACCAGTTTTTTTTTTGTTTTGTTTTTTTTTTTTTTTTTTTTTGGAGACAGAGTCTCCCTCTGTCTCCCAGGCTAGAGTGCGGTGGCATGATCTTGGCTTACTGCAACCCCCACCACCTGGGTTCAAGCAATTCTCTGCCTCAGTCTCCCTAGTAGCTGGGATTACAGGTGTCTGCTCCCACGCCTGGCTATTTTTTTTTGTATTTTTAGTAGAGACGAGGTTTCACCATCCTGGCCAGGAAGGTCTTGAACTCCTGACCTCGTGATCCACCTGCCTCGGCCTCCCAAAGTGCTGAGATTACAGGCGTGAGCCACTGTGCCTAGCCGGACTACCAGTTCTTAACTGAGAAAAGATTCTCTTCTAGATTTTTTCCCCTGATTTTCCAGGGAAATATCATGAATTATTGTGCTATTGACCATGAGCTCAATGTTAATGAAACCATTTGTATTAAATAAGAAACACACAAAACAAGGTTATGTATTGATTTGTTGACAAAAACATAATACAACATTCACAGGAATTTAGCTCCATATTTACCTTAGAAGCAGTATTCAGTATTTGCTAATTGCTCAGTGTTGCAGGTGATTTCATAGAATATAACTACCTTGAATCGTGAGAATCAACTGTACTTCACAACCCATTCATTCACATTGCTTGAGTTCCATTTTCCAACTCTCCTGTTAGTAATTTATATGCATGCCTTTGAATACACCGTTCCTTCTGTCTAGGTTCCTTGTCCCCTGTCTTCTTTGAGTAAGTGATTATCTTCATTACTTTGCAGGAGATTCTACTGATGTATGATTCAGCATCTCTCCCTACCCCCATCTTCTGCTGTTGGCCTCTTGATTGCTCTGGGGGAACATTCCTACTCCTATGTGATAGAATTAGCAGGGAGTGGCTGTCCATCGTGACTCTCAACCTTCCCATAGTCAAGGTAGAGCTGGAGGGCGTAGGGGAGAGAGTCTGAACCAACCTGGGCCAATCAGGAACATGAATCTTGAGTTTCCAGAAAAACAGGGTGGAGGAGGGGTGGGTATTGACTAAGTTTTTCCTGTGTGTCATATCCCTGGAACTGTTGTTTCGGTTTCTGTTTTTTCCAAGGCTTACTTTTTCTATTTAATTCTGATACCAGTGACAAACCTCACATCCTTCGTTAAGTATGTCCCCACATTTTGATGACCCAAATCAGTTTTTGTTGTTTTCTACCAAAGACTCAGCACAGCTTTCTCCTTCAGGGCATTTTCCTATCACCCTGCCTGCTTTGCACTGTCTGCTCTCTCTGCCCTCTTTAACCCCTGTTCTACCCGGACTCTTGCTCCTCACAGAAACACATGGCACTTTGCTGCTCACTCTTGTTTACCAATCTGTCTAACCGACCCATGCTGCTGGAAGAGGCAGTGGAAACCCTGGCAATCTAAATTGGTTTCTCAGTCAGCAAGTTAGGAGGAGCTGAGAGGATGAATGTGAGTCTATCTTAGACTAATTCACCTCATGTTCTTCATTTTGTCCCAAACAGGGCATCGAGGCACGAGCAGATAAAGGACCAGAAAGAAACACAGACACACCGAAAATTGGAGAATGAGTTTAGAGCCATTAATGATTTTTTAATCTCTCTGTGCAGTGCATAAAAATGTCACATGAAAGTATGCCTAGCATGGCATCCTGGTCAAGATAAAACAGTCAGCCTCTTGGCACAGTGAGGGCTGGGAAAGAAGCATATTAAAATGCCACCAATAGGAAAGATGGGCTTTTCCTCTCCTGCACACAGTGTTTGTGTTTTCATAAATGTCACAGGAAATGCTACATTTACTCTCCATTTGAGTCTACATTTTTTTAATAAGCACTATTTTTTAAAAAACAGTTTTAGGTTTACAGAAAAATTGCGCATAAAGTATAGAATTCTCATGGATCCTCTTCCAACCCCAACCCCACATACAGTTCCTTCTCTTACTAACATTTTGCATTAGAATGGCACATTTATTACAATTGATGAGCCAATAGTGATACATTATTACCAACTAAATTTTCTAGTTTATGTTAGGGATCACTGTCTGTATTGTGCATTTATACCACTCAGATATATATATGCATAGATATGCTAACTCCAGATACCCAGTTAATATATTCAGACTCTCTCTTGCATTATGTTTATTATTTTATTTTATTTTATTGTTTATTTTATTTGAGTCAGGGTCTTACTCTGTCACCTAACCCGGAGTGCAGTGGCATGATTGTGCCACTGCCCTCCAGCCTGGGCAACAGAGCAAGACTGTCTCAAAAAACAAAAACCAAACAAAAACAAAATATCTAGAAGAAACCTAAACCAACAGAGGGTGTGAGCATATCTATCGGCAGAAGCCATGTGCTTGAATTCCTTAAGGAAAAGCTGACACGGACTATCCAAGTGTTTAGAGTCTTGGATTTGCATTTACTCTAGAAGGATAGAATTCGACAGATGCATACTGTCCCATATCCACCATTATAGTATCCTAGAAAAATGCTTTCATTGCCCTAAAAATGCCCCGTGCTCCAACCATCCATTCCCCCATCCCCTGCCCTTGGCAATCTCAGATCCTTTTATTGTCTCTATAGCTTGTTTTCCATTACGCCATATAGTGGAAATGTTTTAGTATGTGGCCTTTTCAGATTGGCTTCTTTCCCTTAGCAAGCTGTATTAAGGTTTCTCTATGTCTTTTCATAGCTTGGCAGCTCATTAAAAAATATTATTATATTCTATGTGTATTTTTTAAATGAAAGTCTGAGTTTTTGCACCTATTTGTTGGACATAACTCCTTCATGACTCTCATTTATGTTACAGTGATTACTAGCATCAAATAAATGAGTCGAAGCAACATTTTTAGATGAGGTAGAGCAGACTGTGACAGGACAATGCAAAATGCAACAGAACAGAAAAGAGAAGAAAGTATTTAAGTTCATTGCACTTAACAAAAAAGCATAGATTTGTAAAATTGTGTTTCCATTATCTGCGTATGTGTGTGTGTGCATAGACACTGGGAGTTATATTTTTACTGTGTATTTTTTTACACACCCCATACAAATATGGGCTGTGATTAAAAAAAAAACATCTATTCCTCTAGCCCATACCTTGAAATACCTAGTTCACACTGAAATCAGAGGAAAGCCATTTATTTTTGGTGTTGATTCAGAAAGGGCACAGCTTTTTAGTGATCATCATGAAAATGATAATTAAACAACAACAGTGTTATATTTTATGCAGTAAACATTTATAGTGAAATACATTTTATCATACATTTATTTAGAAATTAAAATTATGTTTTCTGGGCCATGTTTGAAGTATTTTACATATTTTATTTTTACATAGTAATAACTCTGTAAGGTAGGTATGTATATTTTTTAATTTTGCCGATGAGACACCTGAAACACAGAGTGGAAAATATCTTTCCCCAAATCCAACAGCTAGCATGTTGGCCAGGATTCAAATGCAGGGAGAGCATCTGTCCTCTTTAAAACAATCCAGTCCCTGTCCCTGAGTAAGTTTCATTACTTCTAAAGAATAAATGTGAAGTAACTTTTAGGAAAAGGAATTATTAATTTTACTAGAATAAGATCATCTGATTCCAAAATTCTGTAGTTTTCAAGATAATAGACTTTATCTCATAGAGGAGAGATAGAGAACAGTTTTCACACTGAATAAAGCTCTGTTTACCGTCAATAATGTAAAGGCAATCTCTGAGATGCAGATTGAGTGGGAAAAAAGGGCTGTGAGTGATTAACAATGACAGGCACAGGCATAAAATAAGAATGTGGACATACCTATATTATGTATGTGCATCCATTTCTTCATTACATCACCCATTCCTTCAACAAATTTGCATTGAAGGCCCACTTTGTGGCTGGCGGTTTTCTGAGCATGGGTTATACCATTGGTCAAAAGGCATGAAGTTGCTGTACTCGTGGAGCTTATAGTCAAATGAAGAAAGAAAGACAGTGAAATAAATAATGCCAATACAGATGTATTGATGGATGGTCTGGAGGGAAATGAAGCAGGGTGAAAACAGCGATGACACTATACTGGGGGCTGTCATTTTCTCTAGGGTATTATCAAAGACCTCTGTCATGAAGAGAAAAATATCTAGAAGTGGCCGGGCCTAGTGGCTCACACCTGTAATCCCAGCACTTTGGGAGACCGAGGCAGGTGGATCACCTGAGGTCAGGAGTTCAAAATCAGCCTGGCCTACATGGTGAAACACCATCTCTACTAAAAATACAAAAATTAGCCAGGCTTGGTGGCACATGCCTGTCATCCCAGCTACCCGGGAGACTGAGGCAGGAGAATAGCTGGAACCCGGGAGGTGGAGGCTGCAGTGAGCCAAGATGGTGCCACTGCACTCCAGCCTGGGTGACAGACCAAGACTGTCTCAAAAAAGAAAAACAACACAACAGAAAATATGTAGAAGAAATCTAAACCAACAGTGGATGTGAGCGCATCTATCGGCAGAGGCCATGTGCTTGAATTCCTTAAGGAAATGCTGAGACGGACTATCCAAGTGTTTAGCATCTTGGATTTGCATTTAGCCTAGAAGGATAGATTACAAGCAAACTAACTCAGGGGAGTAGACTAGCAGTGGAGACGGACAGCATCTTTTTTCCTACTTTGTGCATTTCAGTGTTCATTAATCCTTTTACAATACTTACATCAATATTGTACAATACAGACATTACTTATCAATCAGTATCTACTGCCTCAATTCATAAGAAGAATTGTGTAACACTTCGTAGTTACTCCTAGGTCTGGAGAGAGTGTGGGCTGGACCCTCAACTGCTGGACTAGTTTCTCTGTGGCCACCAGACAAGACTTCTGTATGATTCTTTCTCTAAGAAAGAAAGGAAGCAATCAATTCTCTAAGAGGCCATGCAGTGTCTCCATCACTTGTTCTTGCTGTAGTAAGACCGTAGTAACCAGGTGATGTCCACCTGCCAATGGGTAATTGCACAGAGTCAAGGTCAAGAAGAAACATGGGGCAAACAGCAGATGAGCCCAGTGCAGACTACACTGGGCAAGCAGAGCTATGTTGACGTCGGGTATTTTTCTTATTATATTGAAAGAAGGTGAAGCAAGAGGCTTCTCAAGTGAAGCAGACATTTCTGACTTTCTGACTGCAAAGTGGATTCTCGGGGTGAAGGCTTGGAAGATACTGCTCTCTTCTTATTCATTCAAAATGGGCACAAAAGTGAAAGAGCTGCCTTCAGTACACCACAACCAACCACACTCTCAATAAACAGGGATATTTCAAAGCACAGTAGCTCTGGCAGTGAGAAAATGCAGGCAGATCTGGAGAGTTTAATCATCTGGTAACAGAACACTTATGTCATTTCTATTTGGGGAAACTTTATATTAAATCTATAAGTTTAGAATTTTCCGCTTTCTATTTTGTTTCCTTCTACTTGACTTAATGTTCTTGGGAAAGCACTTTAAAAAAAAAGTATGCTGATCTTCTGCCAGTGAAAAGGAGAACTGTGGTCATTTTTAGGAAGAAATTATTCTACTTTCAAAATTCCAAAGTAAGGTAATTGAAAAATTATCTATCTGAGAAGGCAGCATGAAAAAGTTACATTTTCTCCAAAGAAGATATGTTTGTCTTGCTTTTTTTCTGCATTGTAACAACCATGATAAGGTATCATTTTAGAAATCATTGAAACTCGAACTAATGGAAAGTTCCAGATTAATACACATATTGGAAAGCCTTTAATCATTGGAAAATTATCTCAGAATATATAAAGGCATTTTACATTTCAATCACAGTTTGTATTGTTTTAACAAATTTATTCGCTATGTAAAGAAGTTATGCAAGGTTGGAATTACAATAAATTGACAGTCTTTTGAAAGACACTTAACAAAATGTATCAACACACTTCAAATTTATCTGTTGAATCTACATTTTCACTTTGGAGCATATATCCCGAGAAAATATTATTGAAGATGTAGGTGCTGGTTATATTTTCCTTTTTAGGAAACATCCTCTTCTTCTGATACTGAGACCCCAAATCTCCTTTGGGGACCCTTCCTCACTCTCAGTCTATGTGTTTAGTAGGGTTGACCCAAGTCCCAGTTCACCTGGGTTCCAGGCCTACGACAATCAACACATTTCCTTTTTTTGTTGTTGTTGAGACGGAGTTTTGGTCTTGTTGCCCAGACTGGAGTGCAACAGCACGATCATGACTCACCGCAACCTCTCCCTCCCGGATTCAAGTGATTCTCCTGCCTAAGCCTCCCGAGTAGCTGGGATTATACAGGCATGCGCCACCATGCCTGGCTAATTTTGTATTTTTAGTAGAGACGGGGTTTCTCCATGTTGGTCAGGCTGGTCTCGAACTCCCAACCTCAGGTGATCCACCCGCCTCGGCCTCCCACAATGCTAGGATTACAGGTGTGAGTCACCGCGTCCGGTGACAATAGCACATTTCATTTCTGCAGTTCCCCTGGTTGGTTCGGGCATAAGAATATAACTGAATATTACTCTGTGTCACTGAAGTCTAAAATCATTTGCAGAGTGTCATGAAAAATACAGGATTTTTCTTGTTTGTTTTGTTTAGTTTTACTGTACATTTTACTGGAGAGATATCAAAGCTAAACAGCTGAGTTCCAACCACTGGAAACAGCCCTGCTAAAGTTTAAAACACCTCAAGGGACATTCGAGAAGTGAGAACATGTGACCAGCGTGTAAGACACACCCCAAGCCCCCCAGCATGTCAGCTCTGCAGCAACAGCAATTGCATCTACTTTGGTCACTACCCTATTTCTATATTCAGAAATGTATCATGTGCACAGTGACTGTTCAATCAATATTGTTGGAATTAAACCATGATGCAAGAGAGGCCAGGCACAGTGGCGCACATCTGTAATCCCAACACTTTGGGAGGCCAAGGCAGGCAGATAGCTTGAGACCAGGAGATCCAGATCAGCCTGGGCAACATGATGAAACCCTGTCTCTACAAAAAATACAAAAAAAAAAAAAAAACCCCAAAACCAAAAACTGCAAAACATTACCCAGGCATGGTGGCACATGTCTGTGGTCTCAGCTACTCAGGAGACTAAGGTGTAAGGATAGCTTGAGCCCAGGAGGTCGAGGCTACGGTGAGCCAGGATCACACCACTGCACTCCACGTTAGGTGACAGAGTAAGACCCTGATTCAGAAAAGTAAAATAAGATAAAACAAAATAAACGAAACAAAATAATAAACATAATGCAAGAGAGAGTCTGAAAATATTAATTGGGTATCTGGATCCACCCATGCCTGGTGCCAGATATTCCAAGATTTTTAAGTTATGTAAGTGAATATACTTTTTCTTTAAATAATCAATTTTGGTTTTATATGAATTAAATATTTCTAATATTAATGAAGGGGTCAAAAATATATTTTCAGTGATGTTTCACAGAATTTTCTTTCTTTTTAAATTTCAACTTTTGTTTTAGGTTTGGGGTACATGTGCAGGCTGGTTTCTTTGAGTAATCAATTTGTGTTTTATATGAATTAAATATTTCTAATATTAATGAAGGGGTCAAAAATATATTTTCAGTGATGTTTCACAGAATTTTCTTTCTTTCTTTTTAAATTTCAACTTTTGTTTTAGGTTTGGGCGTACATGTGCAGGCTTGTTACATGGGAATATGCTAAGGTTTGGGGTATGGATGATCCTGTCACCCAGGTAGTCAGCACAGTACCCAATAGGTAGTTTTTCAACCTTCAACCCCTTCCTCTCACCTCTTTCTAATAGTCCACAGGGTCTATTGTTCCCATCTTTATGTCAATGTGTACTCAATGTTTAGCTCCCATTTATAAGAGAGAACATGCAATATTTGGTTGTCTGTTTCTGTGTTAATTTGCTTAGGATAATGGCCTCCAGTTGCCTCCGTGTTGCTGCCATGGACATGATTTTGTTTTTTCATGACTGTGTAGTATTCTACGGGGTATTTGAATCACATTTTTAAAATCCAGTCCACTGTTGATAGGCATCAAAGGAACATACCTCAGAATACTATGAGAAAGCGATGACAAATGCACAGCCAACATCATACTGGGAAACCAAAAGCTGAAATCATTCCCCTTGAGACCTGGAACAAGACGACAAGGATGCCCACTCTTACCACCCCAATTCAACATGGTACTGGAAGTCCATGCTAAGAAATAAACAAAGCCATCCAGATAGGGGAAAAAGAAGTCAGATTATGTCTCTTCACTGATGATATAAAACCTAGAAATTCTGAAGACTCTTTCAAAAAGCTCATAGAACTGATAAAGAGCTTCAGTAAAGGACACAAAATCCAGGTCCGAAAACGAGTAGCATTTCTATACATCAACAACATTCAAACTGAGAGCCAAATCAGAATGTCATCTCATGCATATTTTGGGCTTTTCTAGCTGGTAAGCAAATGTGCCACACCTACAAAGAAAGCCAAATCTTAATGCTTGGAGACACAATGCACTTAATGAGAAAGAAAGAAAATATGTTCTGGTTTTCTTTTCATAGATGTCCCAGCATCCCTGAAGAGGTATAGAGGGGTAGCCTGCAATCTCCTGCAGTCCCGTGCGTTTGTGGTATGGCCATGTTTGGGGATGTTTATAGACCCTGTGCTTACAACCACCATGGGCCATCTGGCAGGACCTCAAATTTTACCTCGACTTTTACATTCTAGAAATCCCTAAAGTGGAGAGCAATGTTTTCTGAGACTGAATCTCAGTTCAGACCCAGTTCAAGAATCCTGTTATAATAGTTTTTAAAAAAATAGAATCAGGCCGGGCGCAGTGGCTCACTCCTGTAATCCCAGCACTTTGGGAGGCCAAGGTGGGCGGATCACGAGGTCAGGAGATCGAGACCATCCTGGCTGACACGGTGAAACCCCGTCTCTACTAAAAAAAAATACAAAAAAATTAGCCAGGCGTGGTGGCGGGAGCCTGTAGTCCCAGCTACTCGGGAGGTTGAGGCAGGAGAATGGCGTGAACCCGGGAGGCGGAGCTTGCAGTGAGCCGAGATCGCACCACTGCACTCCAGCCTGGGTGAAAGAGCCAGACTCCGTCTCAAAAAAGAAAAAAAAAAAAGAAAAAGAAAAAAGAGAATATACTAGCTGTATCGTTTTAGGAGACACAGATAAATAAGCACCCAATTCAAGCCATACATCTGAAACATTCTGAATAGACTTAAATGTGAAACTCCGGTTTGCAAACAGTGACATGGAGCAGGAAAAGCCAGTGTCTGGTGCAATTGGCACACACCAAGGGCTCTGTCTTTTCAGCAGCAACTCTCACAGGGAAGCACTCTCTCTTTAGAGAAACACATACATCATCATCTCTGTTAAAAGGTAGACTCGTGTGCAGACATTCAACGAAACGGCCCTTGCCTCCCACGTAAAAAGCAAATGAGGTTATTTGATTTTGTTTCTTGCTGCTCTTATGCCATGTTACAGAAGCAAATCCCTGGTAAATAAAGTGGCATTAGTCCCGGGGGTATTTATTGTTCTCTGAGAAATCTAATTACTGTAGATTTTTCCTTCACTATTCTCCAAGATTTTCTAAGTTAAAGGCTAAAGTGGATGCCAATTAGATGGCTCTTGACGGTATTACTAAAAATATTATTTACGACCTAATATAAAGTTATGTGTATTTCTCTGCCTCAAACACTAAACTGATGCTAATTTAGTATTGATTAGGGAAAGACCAGGGCAGAGATTATCGCTTTGTTCCATTTAAGGCTCTTTTCATGGCTGGATTCAGGTGAATGGGAGAAAAAAGTCTTCCTTTTTAGTTGTGCTGCCTGAGACGTATTGAGCTCTCTGCCCCAGAAATAACTTTTGAGAGGCTATAAGAGGGATTCAAGTTCCTAACTAAGCCAAAAAGTGTAGAAGGATGTAAAATTCAGAGAGGGTGGAATAAAAGAAGAGTAGATGAGAGACATTCTACTTTGGGGTTTGATGGGTTCGTTTGGTGCAGAGCAAATCTACCACTGGGAAAAACTAAGAAAATTGGAAACATTTTTTAAAAAACCTGATGGCATTGGGGAGCTACTGAGACATCCAGTATATGAGGAGCAGGATGCCAGAGGGATCAGAAACTTATCAGGGTGAAACTGACATTTTCCCTTTTTTCCTTCAAGAATTTGCTGGTTATAAGCAGCATGGAATAACAGGTTGAGAAGTCAAACAGAAATCCTCACAGAAAACATGCAGTAGACAGGGTTTTAGATAGTCCCAGGAGGCTGAAAAAATAAAAGTGGAATGCAGGGTTACTAAGGTAATTAGAACATGAAAGGCCAAGATTCAGGAAAGAAGGGAAACGCAGAGACGCAAGTACAGTTCTATCAGTCTCAATGTTGTTTGCAATGCCTGACTTGCAGAGAGTGAGAAATTCTGCTGGAAGCTTCCTCACAGGGGCTGAGCAATTAAATCAAGTTATCAGTACACTCACAAGGGGAAGACAAAAATTGGACCTAAGGCTCTTCTACAACCTTAGTAAACTGAATTTGTCTCTTTATTTCATCCTAGTAACAAGGTCATAAGAAATGAGGAGGTACGGTAATAACCACTTCAGAAAGCTAAAAGACTTAGAGAAGACAGTACTGGCTTGTTTTCAAAGGAATCTTGCCTTTTATATTATTACCAATACTTATTATGTATCTATATGTTTATATAGTTGCAAATAGACAGTGTATTTTAACAATTTTAACAAACCTTTTTATTTTTTACTAAGCTTATCATTTTATATCAAGTTTGTAATATATATATATTACTAGCATGATGACCATTTGCAGACACGTCCAATGTGAGGCAAGAGTAAAATGCAAACACACATGTATATGGCATGGAAATGTGCATTAGGGAAAAGTCTGGGTTTTCATTACAGATAAAACAACTATGGTACCAGAGAGACGGATTTATACCTTGATCCACACTTACTATTATGCATTTATTAGCTCTTTGATTCAGGACATATTAACTGCTTATAGCCTTTGTTTCTCCATCCATAAAACTGGAATGTAATAATAACCACTGCATAAGGCCATTGTTAGGGTTAAATTAAGTATTTTATGTAGACTACTAATGGCTTAGCATGGCATGTGGTAAGTATGCAGTAGATGCTTGCTGTTTTTGTTACCTATAATATGGAAAAGAAAATAACGTAATACGTGCAAAGTAGACAATACAAAGCCAGGTATGTTGAAGTTGCTTGGGTGGGATTACAATAAGGAAATTGAAGTAATTTTGGTGATGGCCTAATTTCATCTACTAAAAGTGAAAAAAAAAAAAAGACATACTCTTCCATATGTGGACTTTTCTGGCCTTAAAGTACTTCTCCTAATATACTGAGAACTGTGTGTATTTTCTGTTTTTAAGACATTTAAATGTGTCCACCTTGTTGCATTACAAAAGGTTCCCAGGGCCAGCCAGTGTGCAGGCTGGTAGACATAATTTCTGGCTCTTTCAAACACATGCCATTCTTCCAAACACACAACATGATTTTCTGAATGCCAAGTGGATGAATATATGTGGCCTGGAAACATTTGCCTTACAGCATTTTAGTAACTGAATATTATGTGTCAGTATCTTGCTTAAAGTCAGGATACCAGAATTTACATCCTTGTTAGCCATAGATATACTTTTCAACAGCTTTTTAACTCCCAAAATAGTGACAACTTGCACAGCTCCTTTTTCCACAATTCTTTTGACATATTACTCATAACATACACATCATGAGGCAAAAGTGAATTGTTATTGAATATTATTTCAATTTTAAAGCATGCTAAGAAAGAGTAAGTGTTAACTGTCTCTTTCTGTCAGTTAACTCAGACAAAAACGCTTAGAGGAATTCCCCGAGAATGGAGTCCTGAAACTAGGTAAGAGATTCCGGTTACAATAAACTGCTCTCAGAATTCCTATTTAAGGACTCATAACAAGTGTAGTTAAATAATCATTGGTGCAATTATTTTTTCCAGGGGCCATCATCAAAAACACCAAAATGAACCACAGAGAAGATGCAAATGTAGCAGGTCAGTTGGGGACTGTGGTGAACTGAGTGAGGGTGACCCAATTTCAGTGGATAGAACCATCATTCACCCCCAGCCAAGTCTTTGTATGCAGGAATGTGGCCTGGTGTTTATGAATTTTCCAAATTTTTAGGGAAACCAGACAAATTTTATTTTTTAATTAATTAATTTATTAATGACAGAGTCTTGCTCTGTCACCCAGGCTGGAGTGAAGTGCCATGACCTTGGCTCACTGCAACCTCCGCCTCCTGGGTTCAAGCGATTCTCCTGTCTCAGCCTCCTGAGTAGCTGGGATTACAGGCGTGCACCACCACACCAGACCAATTTTTGTGTTTTTAGTAGAGATGGGGTTTCACCACGTTGGCCAGGCTGATCTCGAACTCCTGACCTCAGGTGATCCTCGCACCTTGGCCTTAAATGTTGACAATTAATTTAGTTTAAAAATCACTGTGGTTGTCTATTTGCTGCTCAAAGCTCAATCGGCTATATATGCGTGTGTTTATTTCTCACATCTCAGTTCTGTCCTCTTGGTCTATATGTCTATTTTTGTGTCAAGATCACACTGCTTTGACTACTTCAGATTTGCAGTAAGTTTGTAAATGGAAAGTGTGAGTTTGGTCACCCACCACCTTTGTGCTGACATTTGCAAATGTATTCCTTTTCCATATATTGTATATATTATTGGCCTAACTATATGTAACAATAGATGTATGGATGGTAGATAGATTAATAGATAAGTAGATAGATTAAATAGATGGAGGATGGATGAGAGATAAGTGAAAAGATAGATGAATAGATGGTTAGATAGATCAATAGATAAAAGAGATTAGATAGATGAATAGCTAGATTACATGATGGATGAATGGATATACACACAGTGTTTTATACAATTTATTTTGTATACAATTATCCTTTAAATTAGTTAAGAGACAAAAGGAGAATAAATATCCTTTCATGCTATCTTTTATAATGACATAATCATCTTAACCAGTGCTGTTAGTTTGTTCATGGGAAGTTGGATTACTTTCTGTGGCCAGCAATAAATTATCTGAGTTTTTCAGTTGTTTTGTAATGCCTTTACCTTGTTTGATTTTTGAAAAATAGTTCTGTTGGATATAAGTTTTTTTTGTCAACAGTGTTTGTTCGTTTGTTTTTACATTTAAAATATGTCATTACCTTCTAGCTTCCATTGCTTTTTGTGAGACATCATTCACTTATGTTATTGGGGTTACCTGTATGCAACAACTTGTTCTCATTTTACCTTCAAGATTGTCTTATTGTCTTAAGCTTTTAGTGTTTTTGCCGTGATGTTGCTAGCTGTAGATATCTTTGTATTTATTTTTTGTTTGTTGAGCTCCTTTGGTGGGTAGACTAATGTTTTTCAGCAAATTGGGGAGATTTTCCACCATTATTTCTTCAAGTACGTATTTGTTTTTCTTTATCACTCCTCTGTTTCCAGCACACCCATTGTGCATATGCTGGTGTCCAATAGCATCTCGCATGTCTTTTAGATTCTAGTTATTTTTATTCATTCTTTTTTCTTTTGTTATTCAGGTTATATAACCTTGGTTGATCTATTATCAAGTTCACAGATTCTTTCTTCTTCCAGTTCATATCTACTGTTGAGCCTCTCTAGTGAATTTTTCATTTTAATGATTATTCTTTTCAAATCCAGAATTTTCATTTGGTTCTTTTTTATAACTTTTATCTTTTTTTGAAATCATGTGGCACTGTTATCATTGTTTATTTGTTTGTGTGTGTTTGCTTTTGGTTTTATTTTCGTTTTACTTTTTAAGTTTTTTTTTTAAGTTCTGGGATACATGTGCTGAATGTGCAGGTTTGTTACGTAGGTATACATGTGCCATGGTGGTTTGCTGGACCCATCGACCCGTCATCTAGGTTTTAAGTCCTGCATGCATTAGGACAAACCCCTAATGGTTTGAACATATTTAAATCTGTCTGTTAAATTTGACATCTGGATCCTTTCACAGGAAGTTTTTGTTGCCTACGTTTCCCGCTATGTATGAGTCACACTTTCTTGTTTCAGATGTCACATCATTTGTCTTAGTTGTAAAAAATTGGACACTTTAAAGAATATATGTAGTCAATCATGATACAGATTTTCCTCCCCCCTCTCTGGGATTTGTTTTGCTAATTGTTTGCCTATTTAAGTATTGCCTAACTTATTTTGTAAAGTCTACTTCTTACCACGGTGAAGGCTTTTGTGCTCATTGCTCAGAGGGCACAGCCTTGGACATGGACAGGGTAAGCATTGGATTACTGTTGTTTAAACAAGGTTTTCTTTGAATGTTTCTTTCCTTGATCTCTCTGTTAACCTGCCTGCCTCATTTGGTTCACATCCAATTATTAGGATCCACTAATTGCTGGCTGATTATGCTGTTGTTTTCTAGAACGTCCTGGATTATATATTGCTCCACAGTCTGATGCAATTACATCTGGGCAAACTGTGGTTTTTGAGGCCATTGTTTGAGGTTTTCTTTGACCTCAAACATATGGATTATTTATAGCAGTCACATTATCTGGTTCTCATAAGTAAACTAATTAGTTTATGTTTTAGCATGTTCTTCTTAATTATGAGGAATTACCAGTTTATTATTTGTATACCACCAACATTTCCATTGTTTTCAAGCCCTTAGATCTGAACTTCCCCACACTCTTTTTCAAATACACTCAGTTCTTTTGGGGAAAGAGTTAGGGCTCTCTGTTCTTACACACTTCTATTCTCCCTTGGCACAATCTCTGAGCTACCACTACAAGTACTGGGTACAGCCTGTGGTTTTCTAGACTTGTCTCTCCCAACCAGAATCCTTCAGGTCGTCTAGGGCATGCCCTTCAAGACAGCCTGAAATGCCTGGCGTAAAGCTTTCATCTTAAGAGGGAAGGCCAGGCTGAGGAAGTGATCCTCTGACCTCTCAATTGTATTTACTAGCAATTTAGCCTCAACTTGAAATTAGAGGAGACATGAAATGTTGGTGGCCTGTGCCTCCCAGTGAGATAATATTCCTCGGTTGGGAGCTGAGGAAAGGGAGAGCTCTGTCTTTTTTCCTCCATATCTCTGGAGATGAGGTTCCATCTGCTGAACTCAGGGAAAGGAGGTGGATTATGTCTTGAGTGCCTCAGACTCTTGGTATTTGGTAGGCTTTCTACAACAAATGTTTCTTCCTTTGCTGTACGCTGTTGAGACAATTGCCAGAGACTCTCCACAGCTGCTTTGTAAATAGTTTTCACCCGTAGTGCTCTTTCTTCCTCCATGGAACTCCTCATGTTGCCATCTCAGAGTCCTGTTAACTAAATTTTACTTGGTGCTCTACACAAAACGTAAACTTTTTATAAAGAAAAAAACATTAATTAAGGCAATTTTTAACCAAGAAATGCAAAATAAAAGATCATAAGCTGGGCGTGGTGGCTCACACCTGTAATCTCAGAACTTTGAAAGACTGAGGCAGGTGGATCACTTGAGGCCAGGAGTTCAAGACCAGCCTGGGCAACATAGTGAAACCCCATCTCTATTAAAAATACAAAAACTAGCCAGGCCTGGTGGTGGGCACCTGCAATCCCAGCTACTTGGGAGGCTGAGGCAGGAGAATCATTTGAGCCCAGGAGGCGGAGGTTACAGTGAGCCAAAATCACGTGACTGTACTCCAGCCTGGGCAACAGAGTGAGACTCTATCTCAAAAAAAAAAAAAAAAATCATAAGAGACAGTACTTTCAGGAATATAATGCTAGTTAATTCTAGAGCATAGTCACTACTTTTTTCCCTGAGGACCACAAGAAAAGGCCTTGAACCCAAAATATTAGAAAAAAAATTCAAAGAAATGATTTGGTACTTAAAATACACTCATAAGATATTCTGATAATTAGAAAAATGTATTTATTAGAGAAAATGTTAAAAAAAAAAAAAGCCTAACCAAGCATCACACTTTGAATAATGAAATGTAGAAAATTATTCTTTTAAGGTTGGAGCTATTACAAGTGTGATATTTATTACTGCTTCATTTAAATATTGGAAACACCAACCAAATAAAAGTTATCAGAAATGAAAATTTAAACATTATATTGTCATTATTAGCAGACGTATATACAGATAAAATATTAAAAACGTAGGCAAGACAGGGCACAGTGGCTCAGGCCTGGAATCCCAGCACTTTGGGAGGCCGAGGCAGGCAGATCATTTGAGGCCAGGAGTTCGAGACCTGCCTGCCCAACATGGTGAAACCCTGTCTCTACCAAAAATATAAAAATTAGCCAGGCTTGGTGGTGCCCACCTGTAGTCTCAGCTACTCAGGTGGCTGAGGCAGGAGAAGTGCTCCAGCCTAGGAGGTGGAGGTTGCAGTGAGCCAAAATGGTGGTACTACACTCCAGCCTGGGCAACAGAGCGAGACTCTGTCTCAAAAAAAAAGGTAATAATAAAAATAACAAAAAAAAACCATATGCAAGACTTTTGGTTAATATTCATATATGAAAAAGGAATTAAATTTCTATATTTTAACAACAAACACTTGGAAAATTAAAGAAAACAAAGATGAAAATGCATCAAATACTTAGGAATAAATCTTTGAAGTAAAGCTTTGGGACAGGTCTACACAGAAAGCTTTACCATGACTTTATTAGAGAAACAATAGAAGACCTAAATAAACAGAAAGTATATCATGCTTATAAATTGGATGGCTCAAGATCATAAAAATGTCAGTTCTTCCCATGTGATATATAGATTCAGTTCTATTCTAATAAAGATGTGAAAGGTTGTGTGTGACTGTGTATGTTGGAAATTGACAAAATGATGATTCTAAATTCTTGGCAACGGATCAAATGACAAGCTGATCCTAAAACTTTTGTGAAAGGCCACAAATAACAAAGTTACTTTTGTATAAAATTAATAAGGTGGAAGGACAGGGAGGTACAGAGAGGGATAAATCAGCCAGCAGTTACTTTATTTATGACAAAACCAAAACTGCAGAGCCATGCGAAAGGACCACTTTTTCAATGAGTTACCATAGAAAAATATTGGGAAAATTGCTGACTTTTTAATTGTACCTTACTTAATTTATACCTGTTGTTCCATTATTGGAGCGCTAAGCATGTGGGAGTTATTTATATCCTACTCCTCAAGGTCATCACCAAGGTTTTATTTTTCACACGTCTGCCTCCGGAGGGTACATGTTATCACATGGTGCACAGCCTTAGTCACTGCTGCAGATACTGCTGTGCTGGGAGCTTGTCAAAAAGTGAAGTTAGTTTGGGAAACATTTTTGAGGAAGTATGCAAAGACAGGTACATATAACTTCACTGAATTACATCCTATACTAGTAATTTATTCTACTACTTCTCTACTAGTTATACTATTATGCTTTAAAAAGAAAATACAGAAATTATTATAGTTGCATTAGTTATGGGTTTGGCATTTTTCATGTTCCATTTTTAGAACACTAGGCAAAACCACTGCCACTAGGACTAATAATACCTTTTTTTTCTGTGTTAGTCCCAAGATGCCTTGAACTCTAAGTTTGCATGAAATAACTGACCTTTTAGAGACAAATGACAGCATAGACTCAAGTGCTGTAGTGATACAACAACCTGAAACTGCTGCAGCACCTGTTTCTGTTGAGGACTCAGGAGATGAAGAAGGGGGGATAATAAATAATCTGCCAGGTTCTTTGTTGCACACAGTTGCATATCTTATTCAAGATGGCTCTGATGCTGAGTCTGACTCAGATGATCCCTCATACGCACCTAAAGATGACTCTCCCGATGAAGTTCCACCTACCTCTACTGTGCAGCAACCTCCACCATCAAGGAGGAGGAAAGTGACAAAAATTGTTTGCAAATGGAAAAAAAGCTGACCTAACTGCGCAACTCATAGCAGCTAGAGTTACAGAACCACCAAATGATTTCTTCACCGAAATGAAACTCCCACAGAAATTCTTGAACGTTTTCTTGATGACAAGGTCGTTGAACTCATTGTCAGGTACTCCAATTTACACGCTCGAAGTAAGGGTGTACAGCGTGGCTTAACTAGCTCTGAATTCAAATGTTTCCTAGGAATTATTTTCTGAATGATTACATCTCAGTTCATAGAAGGCATACGTTTTGGGAAAAAAGAACAGATGCACATAATATACTGGTTTGTGCTGCCATGAGATGTGACCACTTTGAAACTATATTTTCTAACTTGCATGTTGCTGACAATGCAAATTTGGATCCAATGGACGAGTTTTCCAAGTTGCAACCTCTCATAAGCAAACGCAATGAGAGATGTATGAATTTGTTTTCGGCCAGGTTCTGGAGGGTGACCATGGGTCTCCAGATAATGGCATCAACCAAACTCCAGAAAATCTATTGGCTTCTCATCATATGTTTTATACAATTGCCAAGCATTTTGTAAGACCAATTCAAAACAGAACAGAAGAGGGCTTGAATGCCATTCCTTTCCATGGATAGATGCCCGATACTTATCAATGTTTTCATCAGCGCTGTCTATGCTCCCTATGCACTGGTTATACACTTTGATCATGTTTGGCTGCTGAACTTGGGTTTCTTTTTCAGTTATTCGTTATTCTGGGAATAACGATGGACAAGACACGGGGGATGGATTCCAGCACCAGAAGAGGCAACAGTGACAACACTGTTATCATTCCATCTGCAGACAAGACTGCCTTTGCCATCAATTCAATAATGGAATGTGCCTTTCTTTTTTCTTTAGAGCTACATCTAATTTCAGTGGAGCTTTCTCAATGTGATCCTTTCTCACTGTACCTGTTGCCCGATTTCCCATTGAACTGAGCTTATCAAGAAGTACAATACTGGTGAAAAAGTTATCGAATACAAAATGGTATTGTCCAGGATGTGCCTCTGTAAGTGCCTCACTAAGCTGACGGACAAGTGACTCAACAACACCATATCCCTAATGTTTAGTATTTGGGTTTTTACCCTGATACGGCTGAAACCAGCAAATGTAGCCCAGACATATGGCACCACACCAAAACTTATAGCCAAACAGAACGGGCTTTCCCTGAGTAAACTGCACCAGTGACGACCAAAATAAGGAACCATGGATTCGTCATCACTCAGGTATTAAACCTAGTACCTATTAGTTATTTTTCCTGATTCTCTCCCTCTTCCCACCCCCCAAAAAGGGTTTCTTTTCTAATGGGATTACATCTCAAGTTCGTTCTTCCCATTACATTTATTGTCATTAAATAGGATAAGTGATGTACTTTTACACTATTTTTAACATTCATATAACTTGTATTCATTACACTGAAACTCTTTTCAACTTCAGCACTGTTCATTGCAAGAGCACTTTTTTGGGGAACAGTTGCAGGAATTGGAGCATTATTTGGTTTTAAATTTTTAAATAGTGGTTGTACTTAACAGCAAGCTCATAAAATTCTTGTTAACTGACTCTGATAAGCTGATATGAGTTGGCTTTCAGTATACCACGCTTACCAACCTTTATTTCTGCTGCCTTTATGTTGAAATGTAAGAAAACTTAGGTGTAAAAATGGCTGTGAAAATTTATTACACCATTAATTTGAAAAAAAGATGTGTAATCGTCTTTGATTATGTGTAAATTATCTCTGCTTCTTCCTGGTTTTGCATTGTTTCTATAATAGAGTAAGATACTGCACACTAATTATATATTAACAAGCACAAATTAGCTGGGGCACAAAAAAACAAATTTTTCTGTTGAATTAAGGATCACTGGGTGACTGGAGAGCTCAGTTAATGACTTCAAATAAGCACTTCTCACAGTGAATGGTGATTAATGAACAGTAAATCATTTAATAAACACCACTGGCTTTGTAATTGGAAAAGTCACTAGCCTGAGCGGCCCTCATTTAAGATTTTAAAAGTAGCAAACTGCTACTATTGAAGCCAGATTGTCTCAGGTCATATCTCAGATATGCTACTTATGTGCTGTGTGACTTTAGACAAACTATCATCCATGGGCCTTAGTGTCCTCATCTACAAAATCCATAACTTTTCCAAAGTACCTAAACATCTACACCTCTGTGGTATGAAGTAAGCAATATGCAAGTGCCAGCTTAATTGTCGTACATACAATGTATCTGTAAGGATCTTGAAAGGGACTGTGGGTCACACTCAAATGGGGAAGCAGAATTTTTAATGTGCAAGAACTCCTTAAACAGGCATTGGCAGAATCAGGGGAAGCAACAAGATATGATGAAACACGCGAGAACTACCAAACATGGGAAGGAGTTACTGCTCAAAACTGAAAGGGCAAGAGGAAGAAGCTTTATTGTGTTCCCAGAACACAATAAGAACCTCACTGGGGGCTGTGGCCTTGGCAGAGGAAGGCAGACACCTCCAAGCTGTGACCTGGCAGGGAGGAAGTGGAGAGAATAAAATGCTTTGACTTCTCTTGCTTCTGAGCTCCAAAATTCTCCCATTGGCTGAACACAACTAGAAGGCCTCAAACAAGGAAGTTCAGCGTCCAAAGAGGTCAGCTTCCTTGTATTCTAAAGAACAGGGCAGGGTGGACAGCAGAAGAGGGAAGCAAACAGAAGGTATCTAGCAAAGAGGACACTTACTGGAAGTTTAGCTGTACCTTGTATGCAATCAATGTGGATAAATAAAACAAATACTGCAGGACAGCCTCATTACTCTTGTTAAGAACTGGCCAGTATATACTTGTCTGTGACAGTGATTTACCATTTTTGTTTGGTTTTGAATCAGAACCAGGAATGATCATCTTATTTGAAAAGTGAACAAGAATAGTAAACTCACTAGAATTTCCATGATGCTTTATATTTAACAAATTGCTGACATCTATTAAATTATCTTTAAGCCCTATAACAACTTTGATAAGGTAGATCTTTATTTTACACATAAAGAAACTGAGGTGGGGGGAGGTTTTTTGACAAGGGTCATTGTGACCCATTGTACAATTTTTCAGCTAATAGTTAAAGAACTTGCGGAGACCTGCAGACAATTTCGCAAAGGATTTAAGAGCACAATATCTTGAATGCCTTCATTCTCTCATCCTTTCATTGCTCATGCATGATTAGAAAGCATAGTCCACGTTCTCTTCTGCATGCTGGGGACTGAGAAGTGAACAAAACAAAGCCTCACACCCTGTGGAGCTGATAATTAAGTGCATGACACAGACAGCAAACATAAAGATCCATACATACCCCCTGGGTCAGATAAGGTATGTGTCAAGGGGCTGGAAACAGTCGCAAATTCCTTAACATGTTTTTTTTATTAAATGTCTTCTTTAATAAAGTGATAGTTCAACAGGGACCTGAAGACAGCTAGCCAGATGGACATATTAAGAGGAAAATTGTTTCAGATTAATTGAGACCCAAGTAAAAATTCAGGTCTTTTTTTTTTCTTTTTTTGAGACGGAGTGTCGCTCTGTCACCTCGGCTGGGGTGCAGTGGTGCAATTTCAGCTCACTGCAAGCTCTGCCTCCCCAGTTCATGCCATTCTCCTGCCTCGGCCTCCCGAGTAGCTCAGACTACAGGCGCCCGCCACCACACCCAGCTAATGTGTGTGTGTGTGTGTGTGTGTGTGTGTGTGTGTGTGTGTGTGTGTTTTAGTACAGACGGGGTTTCACCGTGTTAGCCAGGATGGTCTTGATCTCCTGACCTCGTGATCTGCCCTCCTCGGCCTCCCGAAGTGCTGGGACTACAGACGTGAGCCACCGTGCCCTGCCAAAATTCAGGTCTTTTAAGGGCCTCCTGCATAACCAGGGGCAAGTGGCAGTCTCTTTGAAGCTCAATTTCCACATTATTATAATAGGAATAAAGTTATCTCATACACTTGTTGCAAAGATTATACATTAGGTGTAAAATATCTGAGTAGTGTTCTTAATATATCACATCTATTTAATAAATGGAAACTGTTACTATCATAAATGCTCAAAGACAAAAAGTACTTGCTCCTCACATAACATAAAATTGCACCCAATTCCATAATCAATGCCTAAACTTTCATCCTATGAAATCTTGCAGCTTGTGATGATTTCTCTCCGTTGTAATATTTGTACATTTTGTTTTTTTCAAGAATATCAATTTGGACAGAATCTGAATATAACTGACCATCATCAATTACCTGCTAAAAATCTGATTGCCTGCAGGCACATTCTGGAAGTCTGTGTGAAAAGAAAAAATGTTTATAGCTACTTAGTTATACCACTTATAAACCCCATTCTTTTAAAAACGTTTTTAATGTCTGAAATGAATAAGTAAATGAAATTGGCTATTTATGATTCCTCTGATATTCTCGTGTTTTTTCATGGGAGAATATTAGAAGAATCCTTCAATATGCACTTATCTTGTTTTATATCTTTCTTTGTTGATGGAAGTGCAAATCTTTTTAATCTTTCTGAAAATAGCTTTGTAGTGTGTATGAGCTGCCTTGCTTAAATTTGAGTATCATTCTCTACTGAAGGATTTCAGAGTGTATTAATGGCAAACAACATTCAATGTAATTGTGCATTCTCTTTCATGTATCATTCAGTTCTTGAAAAATGAAAATTATTATATCATAAATAATTGTTGTATGCTTCTCAGTAATGTGAAGTGCTGTAGACTGACCATATAAATACATATTTGCATAAAATTGGCAATCAAAGATGATGCACGGAAGAACTTACTTGTCAGAACAAATGGTTTGCAATATTCATTATTTTCTTGTAAAGAAACCATTATTGGGGATGACTTAACTAGTGCAGAGTTATTTGGTGAGCAATGTATTGATCAGACATCTGGAAAGATAAAAATGCCAATACTCAGACTGACAATTTGTCTATAAAACTGGATATATTTCTTACACACACACACAGACACACACACGCATACACACGGTTTGGCTCTGAAAGTAGTAATTTTCCTTTCCTCTATATGTCCATTGAAATCATTCAAGACGCTCAAGACACATTTAGCAATGGTGGATGGCAAAATGAAGGATAACAGGGGTTATTTAAGTTAAACATGCATTTTTTTTGGAAAAATAGTGAGTGCAAAAAACGTAATTAACTATTTAAGGCTTTGCACTGATACTAGCCAAGAGTGCCCAAACATCTCTCCCCAGGTGTGGTATATTCCATCTCACTATAAAATAAGAGTGAGAATTTTTACCAAAGGACCATACCCAGAATGTTTAAAACCAAAAATGCTGATTCCCTCACTATTCATTCTTACTGAAACTTTGTACCCTGTGACAATCATCTACATATTAAAGTGGTATGAAACACTAGTGTTATTTACTCCTCAAATATTTATCGAATACTTATGACGTGCAGGTATCATGCATGTGTTTCTGGAATTACAAAGATAAAGCACCATTAATTCATTCCTCAAAACCACAAAGTTAACATGGAGAAAACCAAATATAGAAGCAGGTGAAGATTAAAGAGCCAGGAAGGGAAGGCTGGGCAGAAGGAGGCAAATAGTGGTTAGCACACGTCTAGTTTTTTTATCATACTCATCTCAAATCCCAAAGCAGCCATCTTTGAGGCGTAATAACTCTGTTATTTCCCCAAGAAAAGGGCATGTAAGTGTGTAATCTACAAGTGTATAACTGCTTATATATATTTTATTTCTGGTAATTTTTGCTTTATGTATTTTGAGGTTATGTTAATAGACGCATATAAGTTTTGAATTGTTATATCTTCCAGTGCATTGAACTCTGTTGCCTGTTTCTCCTTTTATTTATGTTAATTTTTTGCCTTATATATGTTGAGGCTACATGACTAGGCACATAGAAGTTGAGAATAATTATTTTTTTCTGGTGAATTGGTGCTTTCTCATTATGAAACATGATTTTCTAATTATAATAATATTTCTTAATTTGCTACTTGATCAGATATTAATATAGCTATATATTTGAATTTTGTGTTATATCCTTTTTCATGCTTTGACTTTCATATTTTCTGTGTTCTAATTTGAAACGTATACATCTTGTAAGCAGCTTATAGTTTTAAAATCCAGTCTGACATATTTAGCTTAGTCCTTTACATCAAATGCATCTGAATACTTATGTTTTGAGCACTTTGGGGTATATATGCTCTTCATTAGTATCAAGTTTACTTTTAACAAAAAGTTCTAACGGTACCTATTTTACATGGTTGATTTTTGTAACCAAATAAGATTTCTTTCATTTATTGTTCCAAGATTTATTGAGGTATAATTAACAAATACAAATGTTTAAGGCATACAATGTGGTGTTTCGATATACAATGATCATTGTGAAATGATTACAATAGTCAAGCTAATTAACATATAGACCTCACATAGTTATGTGTGTGTGTGTGTGTGTGTGTGTGTGTGTGTGTGTTGAAAACATTGAAGCCCTCCTCTCTTAGCAACCTTCAAATATACAATACCATACAGTATTGTTAATTATAGTCAACATGGTATAATTAGAGCTCCAAAATATATTCATTCTTACTGAAACTTTGTACCCTGTGACAAACATCTACATATTAAAGTGTGTAATTTCTAACTCTAAGTATGTGATGACCATTTTTTGGTTTCTATCCATAAGTTTCCAGATACATGATAGTAAAAAAGTTTGTTGAACCCAACTGAAAGAAAAGCATGCAAAAAGGGGTAAGCTTCAAGATCTCTCAGAGTAAGGACAATAACATGACACACGTGTGAATATACTTTAGACAGTGTATACAATTTATTTGGTCAAGGTAAGTAAGATTAGCTTCTATAATAAACAATCTTCAAAAGTATAGGAGTATAACACAATAAAGTGTTTTTTTTCTCATATTATATCTGGCGTTATGGCTACAATGACTGGTTATTTTATAAAAACAATTTTGATATATCTCAAATACAAAGAAAAAACTCATCCTCTAAAAAACTCAGTAGTTGTGTATGATTATTATTCTTGAGGAATTAGTGACTTTAGTTTCCATAGTTGTTGTCTCATCAAAGGCAATGGCTATATTTCCTATTTATTTTCTCTCTTGCTTAGTTACCTAGATCAAGGCCACATCATCAAACCAGTTCTTTATATCTGCTGTTGATTTGATAATGTGAATGTGAAGTGTTACCAAAAGAAATGCACTCAGAGAAGAAGACAAATTAGCTGTATAAACGAATTGGTGGTTCTGACTTTAGCAGAGAATTCCAGAAATTTCAAAATAAGGAAGGAGCTGTGAGTATTGCTTTTTGCCAACAGTAACCATGTCTAGGATTACTACAAGGACAACTGTATAGAAACAAAATATACTGAATTGCCTACATGAGCAAAAAACATAACCCCCTAGGTAAATAAGTACTTTCTCAATTCTCCCTTGAAATTTCTAGTTTGTTGATGAAGGGGAATAGATACTGTGTAGATCTAAGATAGGGTAAATAAGGTATATTTTAAACTTCCTGTGTAAACTTAATATGCTGTCCTACTGGGGTTTTCTACCACACTTGATGAGGTTGTATAATGTTGACATAATATATGCTTGTAAAACATGGTACACACCAATGGAGTAGAAAGTGTCCAGCTGGAGACATCAGAGGGGCAATTACTCCTGCCAATCTCAGATCATCTGAGTCAATATCAGGGTTTTATAACACAAGACAGCATTTATGACACTTAACGAGTTGCTTCAGTTTTCTAATTTTTAAAATAGGGATAAAGTATCTTTCAGGACTATTTTCAGTATTTATTTAATTAGATAATTCATGTGAATAGTTTGTCACAAATTAAACACTCCATATATTTAAATCATTATCATATTGGCTTATTCTCATTATTCTCATAGTCAGGGAAAGTAGGATATCAGCAACCCCTCAGCTACTGCTGTGTAGACTGGAAGCCCCTAAAAACACTTTTAAAAGCACATTATTTTAAATAATTTTTTGAAATGAAGTAATCAGCCGTAGAGTTTTACTTTGGGGACATCTATAATATTTTTAGACCTCTAAACTGTGTGCTTATAGCAGCATATTTATAGAAAGACTGTATTTTTTCAATTGTACCATGTTATCGTAGTAATCTTTTTGAAAAGTTAAGCAATAGATGAAGCCTCCTTTATATTTGAAGGCCTATTGGGTGGATAAACAGGACTGGGAGATACTGAGAGTTGGAGCCCTTTCATATGCCTGCAACCAATGCCCATTCATGGCTGAAGAATGCAGGAAAGACAGTATAAACATGCTTAAGCCTTTCCACTGTGTGTTTCTGCCTCTCCAAGCTTCTCCTATGTATGTGTTTGTGTGCACGTGTATGTATACGTATATTTGTATTTATTTGTACACACACACACACACGATTTGTTACTTGAAGTCTAGAAAATATTCAAGTTCCACATAAACAACGGAAATGAATAGCAATGAAAAGAATTCTGTGGTTGTTGTTTTTTTTAGAGACGTGGTCACCCAGGCTGGAGTGCTGCCACGGTGTGATCATGGCTCACTTCCCTGCAGCCTCGACCTCATGGCCTCAAGTGATCCTCCCATCTCAGCCTCTCCAGTAGCTGGGACTACAGGTACAAGCCACCATGCCTGGCTAAGTTTTACTTTTTTAGAGACAGTGATCTCACGCTGTTGCCCAGGCTGGTCTCGAACTCCTAGGCTCAAGCAATGCTCCTGCTTCGGCCTTCCAAACTGCTGGGAATCCAGGCATGAGCCACCATGCCCAGCCGGAATAGTTTAAATACATGTTCAAAGGCAGAACTCATGTTGAGGATGCAGTCAGCGGCTGAAGTGGGAAAACAAAAATACTTCAGTCCTGGAAACTTTGCATGAAGCACGTAATTATTATAAAGATGAGGATACATTTGAATCTGGCATCAAAGGAGATGCTAGAAAGTAGTGTGACTATTAGCGTGGTGATTTAGGCTGGTGCGATGAGGAGCTTTTAAAAGGGCCGGGTTTAAATCTGGGATGACTGATTTTCTAACCAGAATGCCCAAGCCCTCATGGTGATACAGCTATATTCAAAGACACACAGGAGACAAACTCATTGAATTTGGATGAATATTTTAGCAAAGTAAATTGAGACAACCACAATATTTGCCTAGTTCGTGTCTGTTCTGGAAAATCTTAAGATAAATGTCCTATTTCTTTTTTTTTTTTTTTGCTCTTTCCAACTGTGAAAACATGAATTCTGGGCACCAGGGAAAGATCTAGAGACTTAATGTCTGAAATAATATATTTTCACTTTCAGCTAAATGGCTTAAGTCAGTTATTTTTGCCTCATTACTCTCTTCTCTAAACCCCATAAGCATCATATAGTTCCTTTGTTCCAGAAAGACTCTAGGTTAAAACAGAGTGACATCTAAGCTTGCTGAAATTTACCATTGGAAGTGGAGGCAGAATATGACAAAGTTACTAATGCAGTATGCTTCTGAAAATACCTAGAAAATGTCGACTTCCTCCCCTTCAGCACAGCTCACTTACTGTGGGAAGCAGTCACTGTCAGAGGCTACAAATCTCAAATGCATGTTAAGTGGAGTGTCAAATACTATGAATACAGCGAGTGCTAAATTCACTGTCCCTGAATTACTCCCATTATCTGCTCCGGATAGTTCAAGACTATCCTGAAGTACTAGCAATAATATTAGATTGCAATTCAGGGGGTAGGATGTGTGAGTTTCTTGTCAGGCCAGTTCACATTGCTGGACCTCGGTTTCTCTACACAGGAAATTAGAGCTTCTAAAGTCCTTTGCTGTACTGAAACTATATATATATAAAATATATTATATATTTTATATAAAATTTTATAAAAATTTTTATTTTATATAAAAATTTATATTTTATATAAAATTATATATATATTTATATATAATATATTTATATAAATATATATATTATATATAATCTATATATTTATATAAAATATATATATAATATATAATATATATATCTAGATTATATATAATATATAATATAGATGATTATATATAATCTATAATATAGATGATATATAATCTATAATATAGATGATATATAATCTATATTATAGATTATATATCATCTATATTATAGATTATATATAATATAGATTATATATAATCTATAATATAGATTATATATCATCTATAATATAGATTATATATATTATATATAGCTATGATATATATATAGCTGTGATATATATATAGCTGTGATATATATATAGTTGTGATATATATATAGTTGTGTTATATATGTATAATAATATCTATATTATTGTGCTTTATTACAAAGATTTATAATTACATTGACTACGGGCCTCTATTGTGCAGAGTTTTTCCAGCTTTATTAAGATATAACTGTCAAATAAAAATTATATATTTAGATTAGCTGAATGTGGTGGCAGGCACCTGTAATCTCAGCTACTTGGGAGGCTGAGGCAGGAGAATTGCTTGAACCCAGGAAGTGGAGGTTTCAATGAGCTGAGATTGTGCCACTGCACTCCAGCCTGGGTGACCGAGTGAGAAGCTGTCTCAAAAATTTGTGTATATATATATATATATATATTTATTTAAATATATTATTAAAGTGGGCCATTTGATACAAACAAATGTAGCGTAAATTTTGCAACTTGATGTTTTGATGTACAAATACATTATGAAATAATCACCATAATTAACACATCTATCATTTTATTTATAATGAACTTTTGTGTGTGTGTGTGTGTGTGTGTGTGTTGTGAGAACACTTAAGACCTACCTTCTTGCAAATTTCAAGTATGCAATATACTACCATTAACTCTAGTTACATTGCCATACAGCAGATCTCCGGAACGTGTTCATCTTATAACTTCACGTCTGTCCCCTTTGACCAACATTTCCTATTTCATCCATCGTCAGACCCTGCAACCGCCATTCTACTGTCTGCTTTTATGAGTTTGACTATTTCAGATTCCATGTACAAGTGAGGTCACACGGTGTTTGTCATTTCATGTCTGGCTTATTTTACTGGAGGGGAGGGCAGAAATTTTATAGATGGTTTCAGAAACATTGTGTTGTTAACATTGTTGTCCAGGTTTATGCATATTGTTGCAAATGACAAGATTCTCTTCTTTTTAAAGGTTACATAATATTCCGGTATATATATATATACACACACACACATACGTATACATATTTCATCACATATATATGTATGAATTCACATGTTATGTGTATGTATATACACACATATACAGTCATGCATCATTACTGATGGGGATCGTTTTGAGAATTGTGTCCTTAGGCAATTTTATCCTTGTGCAAACATCACAGAGTGCATTCACACAAACCTACATGGCATAGCCTACTATACACTTAGGCTACAAATCTGTACAGCATGTTGCTTTACTGAATACTGTAGGCAATTCTAACACAATGGTAAATATTTGTGTATTTGAACATATCTAAGCATTTAAAAAATACAGTAAAAATATACTATAAAAGATTTTAAAATGGTACCCTTAGGGCACTTTCCATTAACGGATCTTGCAGGACTATAAGTTGCTCTGGGTGTGTCAGTGAGTGTGTACACTACTGCAGAGTTTATAAACACTGTACTCTTTGGCTATGCTATTTTTTTTTTTTTTGAGATGGAGTTTCTTTCGTTGCCCAGGCTGGAGTGCAATGCAATCTCAGCTCACTGCAACCTCCACCTCCTGGGTTCAAGCCATTCTCCTGCCTCAGCCTCCTGAGTAGCTGGGATTACAGGCATGCACCACCATGCCTAGCTAATTTTTGTGTTTTTTAGTAGAGACAGGGTTTCACCATGTTGGCCAGGCTGGTCTCGAACTCCTGCCCTCAGGTGATCTGCCCACCTCGGCCTCCCAAAGTGCTAGGGTTACAGGCCTGAGCCACCGTGCCCTGCCAGGCTATGCTAAATTTATATAAAAAAAAATGTGTGCTATGATGTTACCACAGCTACGTCACTAGGTGATAACAAATTTTTTAGCTCCATTATAATCTTATGGGAGCACCACTGTATATGCAGTTAGAGTTAGTCACTGACTGAAATGGCATTATGTGGAGCATGATTGTATATGTGTGTGGTGTCTGCGTGTGTGTGTGTATGTGTATGTATACACATTGATAGATACACACACGTGTGTGTGTTTGTGTTTGTCACATATTCTTCATCTGTTCTGCTGTTGACAGATATTGTTTTCTACATCTTGGATTTTGTGAATAATGCTGGAATGAACATGGAAATATGAACATGGAAATACAGACATATCTTCAAGATACCGATTTCAATTTCACTGGATATCCATCCAGCAGAGACATTGCTGGGTCATCTAGTACTCCTGTTTTTAAGGAGGAGAAGATTCATGCTGTTTTCCATACTGGCTGTACCAATTTACATTCCTGTGAACAGCATACATGAATTTCCTTTTCTCCACATCCTTGCCCGCAATTATCTTCTGTCTTTTTGATATTAGCCATTTTAACAATTGTGGGTGGTATCTCATTGTGGTTTATGTGCATGTCCCCAATGACGAGTGATGTTGAGCTCCTTTCCATATGCCTCTTGGTCGTTTATATATATCTTTTCAGAAATGTTTATTTAGGTCGTTTGCTCATTTTTAAACTTGGGTTTTTTTTTTTTTTTTTTTTTGCTGTTGTTTGAGTTTCTTATATATTTTGGATATTAACTCTACCAGATGTATAGTTTGCAAATATTTTTTCCTCTGCATAGATTGCCTTCTCAATCTGTTGATTGTTCCTTTTGCTGTATTGAAGCATTTTAGTTTGATGCAATCCTACCTGTCTGTTTTACTTTTGTCTATTTTACTTTTGTCTATTTTACTTTTTCAGTCTGTGCTTTTTACTTTTGCAGTCTGTGCTGTTTTTCTTTTTGCTTTTTTTCTTTTTACTTTTTCTGTTTACTTTTTCAGTCTGTGCTGTTTTACTTTTTCTGTGCTGTTTTACTTTTTTTACTTTTTTACTTTTTTTACTTTTTTACTTTTTTATTTTTTACTTTTTTACTTTTTTAATTTTTTTACTTTTTTACTTTTTTTACTTTTTTTACTTTTTTACTTTTTTACTTTTCTGTGCTGTTTTACTTTTTTTACAGTCTATGCTGTTTTACTTTTTCAGTCTGTGCTGTTTTTCTTTTTACTTTTTTTCCTTTTACTTTTTCTGTTTACCTTTTCAGTCTGTGCTGTTTTACTTTTTCAGTCTGTGCTTTTGGTGTGACATCCAAAACATCTTTACTGAGACCAAAATCAACAAGACTTTCCTCTCCGTTTTCTTATAGTTATTTTCTTTCAGTCTTACATGTAATATTTAATCCACTTTGAATTTATTTTTGAACAGGATGTTTAATAATGGTCCGATTTCATTTTTCTGCATGTGGATATCCGATTTTCCTGACACCATTTATTGAAGAGACTATCCTTTTCCCACTGTGTGTTCGTGGAAACTTTGGTGAAGATTGGTTGTCAGTAAATGTGCGGATTTATTCCTGGGCTCCGTGTTCTGCACCACTGGCCTGTCTGTCTGTTTTTAGGTCATTACTAACCACTTTAATTGCTCTAGCATTTTAACATGCTGTAAAATCAGAAAGTGTGACGCCTCCAGCTTTGTTCTTCTTACTCGAGATTGCTTTGGCTATCTGAATCTTTTGTGGTCTCATTTGAATTTTAGGAATTTTTTTAATTGATTCTGTAAAAAATGCATTGGGTCACTGTCACGTTGGGTGTGCTGAAGAAGACCACTGGGCCTTGTGGGACTGGCTGTATGTGGGAGTCCACAGGAGCAAAACAACTAGAGCCAGTCTGCTAAAATGTAAGAGGCTAAGAGTATGGTACAGAAAGATTATTGATGTTCTTGAGCAAATCCCTAAAAATGCAGCATATAGAAAGTATACAGAACAGATTATAAAGGAGAAGCTGGCTATGGGTAAAGTGGAACCAGCTGTTAAGAAATTAGAAGATCAACTTCAAGGTGGTCAAGTACAAGAGGTGATTCTTCACACTGCAGATGAACTAAGTCTGGCGAGAAAAATGAGCCGAGGAATCCATGGGAGCTCTTAGTGGAAGAGCCTCCCCCTAGTCAGTGGAGATGGCCAATATAATTATTAAATGACTTTAGTGGCTTGATGGGAAACTGATGTAATTAAATAGACTGTTATATTAAGAGTGTGCCCATGTTATTGACATTTTATAATCAAGAAAACTGATATAGAAAATATTTGGGGGGCTTGTTAAGGTTAGTGATTACGGTAACACAGTCTCGTGGATTAATTTTTTATTTGTAAAGTATTCACATAAATTATTACAAAGATGATATGTCTTTGAACAGAGAGGTCCTGGGAAGATTTGAAATTAACTAGAAACATTCTTACAAATCTTCCGTGCAGAAGCCATTTTCAAAAAGTAAATTTTCTTTAGTAGAATCTTCAATGCATCATTTAATTTTTTTATTATCCTGAAGAAGAAAAGGCCCTTAAATATTATCGTCTAAACAAACGTATAGATCACTGTTTGAAGTAAATAATAAAGTGAATACTTTCAAATGTGATTAAATAGCCCAAGTCACTGAAAATTTGAAATTATAGTTAACTTTTTTGTCTGTGATCTTATGTATGTATAGAAAAATTTAAATATATAATTATATACTGATTACAAATTCCATAATAAATGTCCTTTTATTTTACTCATTATTTGAATTATTCCATTTACTCTGTTTTCATAGTCATAATTTTATGATATTTTGTTGTTAATGGATTATATTTGAAAACTATCAAATTAGATAGAACACATTGTATGGTTGAAGAAATTGATTTGGTACTTGAAAGAAAGACTTCTTACTGCCTAGAGGTAGTTGGAAAAATTTTTCCTTTTGTTGTATTTATGAAAGCCCATGGCCTATGGCCTTTAATTTTCTTAATCAACCCAACCACATCAGGATAGAGGTAGAATTTCTGTGAAAGAAGAGACAGTAAGAGTTCCTAAAGTTTTATCTGGCATACAGATAGGCCTATATTCAAAACATCTTAGTCATGTGGCTACAGATTCAAAGTGGAATCACTAAGTAATTTGCACTACATTTCTAATATGGGTTTAGGTAAGTATCCAAACAAGACAAATGCTGCGTAAGGAAAGAAGCTGGCAAGCTGAAGGTTAAACAAAAATAAAAGTACTTTACATGTAAAAAATGCATTGGAATTTTGAGATTGCATTAAATCTGTAGATCACTGTTGTAAGCACTGACAAACACCCATGATATGGATTGAATCTATAATATTATTAAAAGACCCATATATTTTTAAGGTTTAAAATCCTAAAATGTAAATTGTCTCATATAACTGGAAAATCCAGGGGTAAGATAGCCTTCAGGCAAAGTTAGTTTGGGGAGATCGTCAGATCTGCCTTCTGTCTGGGAGCTTCATATTTATAAAGTTTCTAAAGCTTGTTAGTAAAGACAGCTTCAGGGACTTCCAGCTTTATCTCTACAGCTTATTATGCCAAAGGAAAAGAGCATATTAAAATAATTTTAATTTCAACAAATCCCTATGGTATTGGTTACAGACCAACATTATCAACCTTGAGGAGATGTTAAAAATATAACAGACCTATTGGGAAACAATGTGTGTATCTGTAGCGCAAACCCATCACTTGGACACTACAGTGAGCTTTCTGTATCCTATTTATTCTCCTCTTTCTGGGTTCACAGGAAATTGCATTTCCAAGTCTTTCTTGCACTGAAGTGAGAGTATATGATAATACTTTTGCATATTTTTCATAAAAGACTGTTTAATAACAAAATGTAATAGTTCTCCTTTTTCATTCATGTGGATTGGTGAAAGTAGATGACTGTAATATAGTGTACCAGCTTTTTGTAAAAAACATGCAGCCCAAATTAAAAGGTTGTGCCTAGACAAAAAACACTCAATTACATCAGACTGGCAGGAGCAAGGAAAAAAAAAGTTTTATTTTGTCAAGCCACCAAATTTTACAATTGTTACTGCAGCACAACCTCCAAGCTGTCTGATACCGAATGAATGGTTACCTAGAGATGGCTAATGATGGATAGATGTGGCAATGTTGCTGCATTTAACACAAAATGGGTGTTCAGGCAAAATGTACTTGATTTAGTACTTTATGTTTTCATAATACAGCCTAAAAATGATGAAAGTGTGAAGCAGTCACATATCTTGTAAGACATAAGATGATTTTTACTATCTTCAGAATTACGAAATCAAGGTCAGTTCAAATGAGAGGAAAACAAAATAAATGATTCCCCAACCTCAAAGACCCACGATGAAATAATAAATCTTCAGAGCTTATCTCCTGGTGGTGACATATGCCACAAAGCAATGGGGCACAATCAGTCAATGTGCTCATTTTATCAGAGTCAATAAATGTTTCCTTTTCTTTTTTAAAATTTTATTACATTGATGTGCATAAAAACACATGGACACACATGAGGCACACATAAAAAATCTCTATCACTTGATATTTTCTTTTGTTCTCAATTTTTTAGTTTCTATTATGATTTTATATCTCCTTTATAACAATATTAAAAAATTGCAGAAAACCTTCTGATTTTTATAATATTTTAAATTTCATATAGAAATTGAATTAGAGTTAAAAACTAGAATTAAAAATCCAAATAAAATTAGAAAATATGATCAGTATGCCATTTATTTCCGATTGTGTGAACTGCCAAAGTTTTGACAGTACATAATATTGCAAATATCCCTTACTAATCATTTCAAAGTTTATATACCCAATTTTAATCATTTTGTAATTTTATAGAGAGGTGTTTGCTTTGCATTCTCTGCTAATCCAGGGCAAGAAGGAGATATGGTAGCGAGCATCAGGAAATAGAGACTTATCTTAAGAGATAGAATTCAGGTCTGAGACTGCATCTCTATGGACAGCTACACTGAAAAGGAAAGACTGAAGTTTTTGTTCATTTTTCCTAGACATTACATAATTGTCACTTTAGAGATTTTTTCCCATTTGCATTTTTAGGTCCTTTTTATAATTATTATGATATTGTTATGCTGCTGATTTTTGTATAACTAATTTGTATTCAGCTACATTTTTTTTAATTCTACTTGTTTATTATTTTTATTATTCTTTATATCTAGGTTTCCTAAATACAAAATTATTTTTAAGTTAATATTTCAGTTTATGTAATTGTAAATCATCTTTTAGTTCAAACATTTAAAACATATAGGTCATTAAATTATAGTTAGAGGACTTTGCTGTGCATACATAGGATGTATTTATTTACATACAGCTATATTTCATCCCAAATTAGATTTTATGTTAGAGATGACTTCACCAGATGTCTTGATCAAGATTCCAAAACATTTTTGGCTGCCCTTGAACATTTCAGGGGCACAGCTGCTTGCCGCCTCTCTGGGTGCTCTGTTGAGAACAGTGGCTCCGTTGGAGTTGAAATGGACAATCTACAGGAAATATTTGAACCACCGTCTCCCCACATGCTCCAGCTGTCCCTATAAAAGGCTGGATTTTAGAATAGAGATCAAAGCACAAAAGAGAAGAGAGAAACTGAGGCCCAGAGAAGGGTCTGCGTCTTGGAGCCCACTCACTGGGATGCCCATAAAAATTCAGGCTAGGGCCATCTGAAATTCTGAAGAGGTAAGTCTTCTGGGTGATAGGATCCAGCCTCCTTTATCACTCCTGGTGTTGGCCTGTTAACCTAGAGCCTTCAGTGTATGTATGTTTGAAGGGAAAGGCCAGTGTCTCTTTTCTGTGCAATTCCAGGGGTATTAATAATATTGTACCCTGCTATGGGTTGAATGATGGTGTTCTCTCTAAAGTTCATGTTGAAACTTAATCCCCAATGCAACAGTATTAGGAGCTGTGGCTTTTGGGGGGTGATTAAGTCATGAGAGTTCCACCCTCATAAAGGGAATTAGCATCCTTATAAAAGGGTTCAACTCTGAAGGGAGTACTTTCTTGCCTTTGCATCTTCTGCTACTTGAGGATCCAGCCACAGGGTGCCATTTTGGAAGCAGAGAGCAATGCTCACCAGACACCAATACCAGCAACTGGATCTTGGATTTGCCAGCCTCCAGTACCACAAGAAATACATTTCTGTTCTTCATAAGTTACCTAGTCTAAGATACTTTGTTACAGCAGCACAAACAGAAGAATACAGGCTTTGTGGAGTTAGATCAGTCCAGTTATATTTGATGAGGCTATAAGCTACTTTGAAGATTAGAAACATCAGGGTAAAGAGTCTGGAATGATAGTTTGTCTTTTAATAATTCCCAACTTTTATATTTTTATGTGAGTCAAATGTTGATTTCAAATGCCCTTTTAATTCTGTGGGACCAATTTATAGTACTCAATTTTCAGAATAGTAAATCTTTGTAGTTTTACGTTTCAATTAATATTCAAAAACTTGATCCTTATTGGTAATAAACCCACGTATCTCAGCTAATACAAGTTATCTTTTATATGTATGCATACTAAAATTTGTCATATTTTCAAGGTTTCTGGGCATATATGACTTACTGAAGGGATGCAGTAAATAGATGTTGCTCTGAGAATAGTGTTATAAGTTGGCATAAATTTCCTGACTGTCTATGTGGACAAAGGATCAAAATGACAAAATGATCATTTTCTGTGTGTTTTATTTTCCAGTGATGATTATGCCAAGAACACAGTGAGAACTCAGTAAATATTTATTGACTAAATTTTGTGGAAAGATCTTCATTGTCCTCCAAGAGGGGATTGGATTTTCCTGAAATACTTCTTGTTTCAGGTTGCAGCAGTCTGGGGGAAAGAAAATAAAAATTTTAAAATTTTCACTCATCTTTCTTCACATGAAAAAATCAGTATTAGAAAGTTCCCAAGTACCAGTGAATATTTATAATAAATAATAATTATAATAGGCTGAGCGTGGCAGCTCATGCCTGTAATCCCAGCACTTTGGAGGTCTAGGCAGGCAGATCATTTGAGGTCAGGGGTTCAAGACCAGCCTGGCCAACGTGGTGAAACCCTGTCTCTACTAAAAATACAAAAATTGGCCGGGCTATGTGGCGGGTGTTTGTAATCCCAGCTACTTGGGAGGCTGAGGCAGGAGAATCACTTGAACCCAGCAGGCAGAGGCTGCAGTGAGCTGAGATTGCACCACGGCACTCCAGCCCAGGCAACAGAATGAGATTCTGTCTCACATTTAAAAAAATAAAAATAAAAAAGTGTTATAGTATTTGAGGTGCCCGTATATTTAGAATCTCCATAAATGTTGGGCTAACCAGGACAGTAATAAGCAAGCCTCCTTCTGGCATAAATCCAGTGAGTCAAGTTTGTGTGTGTGTGTGTTTTATTTTGTTTTTTTGTGGTTTTTTTTTGGTAGCTGTTGCGTAAATTCTGTATTTGTGCAAATAGATCTGTTCTTACTATGTTCTTCATATGTCTCTTTTATGACACTTATCACTTTGCATTTGAGATGTTTGTTTTCTCTTTAGGAAGACTGTGACTGCCATGAGGCTAGAGAAAGGATTTTATTCATTTGTTAAAGATCAGAGTCAGGTATAGTGACTGGCACACAATGTTTGTTTCTAAATACTTGCCAAGTTAAATTATTGGAATAATTTTTAGTATTCTTGTGGATACCAGAATACTGATCACTACAAGTACTTCTCTAAAATAATTGCAAAAGGTACATTTCTTTTGGTCGCAAAGGAGTAATTGTGACTGAATTTAACCTTCTGACTCAAAACAACAAGAAAAACAAAAACAAACAAATGAAAAACTGATTTCCAGGCATTGGTAATGGGTAGTGCAAAACACTGATCCCAGAGAGAGGAACTAGTAAACCCTGTAATTACCCCAGCTATTAGGAGATTATGTAGGCTGCAGCATAAAACAGAATGGCTTATGGTTTCACTGAGTTGAGGGGACACAGCTTAGATAAGCCAAGATAGCCATTAGCTGTGAGAAAAAAACAATAGAGTGGAGGGAGCTACATGGAAGAATTTTGTGGACACCTGAAGAGGAGCCCCCTGGAGTCTTTGTCTGAGTTCCAATCTGCAAACCGTCTGAGGCCAGGGAGGGGTGCCTAAAGAGAAGTATGCGGAATTATACTCAGAAGGCCTGCAGTCATACAGGCTTCGGATTAGATTTTGCTCCAACTAGACAAACATGTAAGCACCTTTTAATAATTGGGAAATCAAACAGAGTCCTCAGAAAGCTATTCCCTTGGTACAGGTTGAGTATACCTTATCTGAAACACTTGAGACCACAGTGATTTGGATTTTGGGTATTTTTTCAAATTTTATGTTTGCATTTATATATAAAATGAGCCATCCTGGGGACGAGATCAAAGTCTAAACACAAAATTTATTTATGTCTCATATATTCCTTATACACATAGCCTGAGGTAATTTTATACAATATTTTAATAATTCTGTGCATGAAAAAAGTTTGTGTACATTTAACTGTCAGAAAGCCAAGGTGTCACTATTTCAGCAACCTATGTGGACAATCTGCAAAGGTTTGCCAAAGCTATCATTCCTGATTCTGAATTTGTATGCTACCAATACGCAATTATTCTCTCTTTCTCCCTCCCTCCCTCACCCCCACCCCCGCACCCCTGCCTTCTCTCTTTGGGAGTCAGGGTCTTCCTCACTTACCCAGGCTGGAATGGAGTGGTACAATCCTTTCTCACTGAAGCTTCAATTTCCCAGGCTCAAGCAACCCTCCTGCCTCAGCCTCTTGAGTATCCAGGACTACATGCATGCACCACCATACCTGGTTATTACTTTTTTTTTCATTTTTAGTAGAATAAGGTCTCGCTATGTTGCCCGAGCTGGTCTTGAACTCCTGAGCTCCCTCGGCCTCCCAAACTGCTAGAATTACAGGCATATGCCACCATGCCTGGCCCAAATATTTTCTTATACTTATTCACATACAAGTACTTAACAATTAAAAAATATGACATACCATTCATACAGTGAAAATAAATAATGTGACTTGTCATGTCATGTGGCACTCAAAAATTTTCAGATTTGGAGCATTTAGGATTTCAGATTTTCAGATTAGGGATGCTTACCCTGTAGGAGGATGAATTTTCATCAGCCTAAAATATAATTTAAACTCACATTAACAAACTTTAAAAGCAAGGCTTGAGAAACCAAACTTAGTTTAAGTAACAAAACTGTGTTTCAGAACACACTAGAGAATATTTATGGGGATATAAAAATATCCAACATCCCACAGTATAAGATTTAGAATTTCTATCATCCAATTCAAAATTACCAGTCATGAAAAGAAGCAGGAAAAAATAGCTCCTATCCAGGATGCTAATAAATCGATAGAACCAGATGTAAAAATGACAAAAATGGCATAATTGGGTACCTTAGTCAGTTTAGGCTGTTATAACAAAATACCTTAGACTGTGTAATTTATAAACAGCATGGATTTACTGCTTACAGTTCTGGAAACTGGGAAGTTCAAGATCAAGGCACCAACAGACTCAGTGTCTGGTGAGGGTTCCTCCTCTGCTTCAAAGACGGCGCAATTGTTCTGTGTCCTCACACAGCAGAAGGGGTGAGACCAACACCCCTCAAGTTCCCTCAGCTTCTTTAATAAGGTCACTAATTCAGTTCATGAGGACAGAGTCCTTGTGACCCAATCACCTCCCAAAGGCTGACCTACCTCTTAATCCCATCACCTCAGGGGTTAGCTTTCAAAATAAAATAGCGTACTGTAAGCAAGACACCATAAGGATATACAGGTGAACAAATCACAGTTTTTATCCCTGAAGAACTCTCAGTCTGGAAGAACAAATGGGAATGTGCATCACTATCATCTACGGCAAACTGTGATGAGTTTTCTGATTTTCTATTGATTGGGGTTGTTTTTATTGCAAGTAATGGGAAAAAATCCATAAGGATTCCATAAAGAGAGGTGATAGTTCTCTTATACAAAACTCTAGAGAATTCTGGCATTCATTCAGAAGCTCAATGGAGTCAAAGAAGATGTCTATGCAAGTCTTTTCATTTTTCCCTCATGGTTTTTAAGATGTGTGCTGCCTCTCCAGCCATTACAACCTAATTCCATGCAAGACAAAGGTAATATGGAAGGGTAATATCAATTAGGTCTCCCAGGTATCAGTGTCACAAAAGCTTTCCAGGAAGCCCCATCTCCACTGGAGATGTATACTTAGTAATTATTAGTTAAAATTGAGTCAAATGGACACCTACTACTGCAAAGAAAGCTAAGGGGGAAAAGAAAGATTCCTGCTTTTTGGTGGGGGGGGGTTGGGCAGGGACAGGGTCTCACTCTGTCACCCAGGCTGGAGTGTAGTGTCAGGATCTCAGCTCACTGCAGCTTTGACCTCCGAGGCTCAAGCAGTCCTTCCACCTGAGCCTCTTGAGTAGCTGGGACTACAGGTTCGCACCATCACGACCAGCTAATTTTTGTGTTTTTTATAGAGACAGGGTTTCACCATGGAGCCCAAGCTGATCTTGAACTCCGGGCTTCAAGTTATCTGCCTTATCTCAGCCTCTCAAAGTGCAGGGATTACAGGCGACAGCTACCACACCCAGCCAGATTCCTGCTTTTTAATAGAATATGAGTTACTCACCTTAATAAAGAAAAGAAGAATGAATATACCGTAGAACGTTAACAGAGTTTATCATATGCCTGTTGAAATGTGTGCTGTAAAAATCTTGTAAGTAAGGGAAGAATCAGTTACATCTGAGTAGGATCAATTGACAAGGAGTTCCTAATGTGAGTTGCAGAGTCTCTTCACCTCTCTGGGGTTTCAGTGTTTCATTTAGACTTCCAAATACTGAAATACATTATGTAGGGGGAAGGAGAAAACAGAATTCTCTTTATTTTTCTCAGAGACTTTTATGTTGAATAAGTTTGTTCATCTTCTGGACACAACAAAGATAACTCCTGAGATTTAAGCCCTCCTCAGTAGACCAAGAAATAGAAAGTTATTTTCAGCCAAAGGACCCCAGCTATCACAAGGATCACTTTTTATGTTTCCCCAAATATTGGCATTTCGAATGGACCTCATTATCACTAAATCTGGTGTTCTGAAATCAGTGTTACCCTTGAATTTCAAGGTAGGAGATTTGCTTCACATAGGATTTATTACAGAATTGTATTTACAGTGAGTTTGAGTAGAGTATTAAAATGTGAGTCTGCTGTAGTCTTATTAATTCATTATTAATTATTCATTCAAATATTTATTGCTCAATGGTGGGGTTCCAAATTCTGGGCTAGACAGCGAAGCATTTCCTCCTAGGGCATGCAATGCATTGGAGGATACTAAATGATGACACTAACAAACGTAAATCATGAAAGAACAAGTCTTAAAAGCTCATTTTAAAGCAAGTAAAAGTATAATTGGAATTTTCCTAACACAAAGAAGTGATAAATGCTTGAGGGGATGGAGACTCCATTTACCCTGATGTGATTATTATACATTGCATGCCTGTACCAAAATATGAGGTATTTATCCCATAAATACATATGCCTACTATGTACCCATAAAAATTTAAAATTAAAAAAAAATTCTTAAAAGTTCATGATGAAGGAACGTGTCCCTGTTAAGGAGGTTGGAGAATTCTTCCATGAGAAACTGACTATTGATCTCACTATGGTGAATCAACAAGTAGAAGATAAGAAGATGCAGATGGGAGAGACAGGAGTTCCAGAAAGAGGGGAAAGCACATCTAAAGGGCCTGCAGCAAGAAAGACCATGGGGAAGACAAGGAACTGAAGAAAATCCTTGTGGCAGTGATGCAGGACACGTGGGCCCCAAAATTGGGGCTTAGCCTGGGAGCGTTCTTGGCTTTGTCCAGGAAATAATTCAAGGGTGAGCTAATGGTGTTGGACAGCAATTGTTTATTGAATGGTACTGTTCCTTGTGGAGCAGGGCTAACTCATAGTCAGTGTGTCCAGAGTCAGCAGCCTATGGGCTATTGGCAACGGTATTCATACCCACTTATACCTACTTTCAATTATATGCAAATTATGGAGTGGTTAATGCAAATTGAAGGTGGGTTATTTCAAACTTTCTAGAAAAGGGGTGGTAACTTCCAGGTCACTGTCGTGGAAAGGGGTGGTGGCTTCCTGGTTGTTGTCATGGCAATTGTAAACTGTCATAACACTGGTGGGAATGTCTTATGCTAAGTCACAGTGATGGCAGCTACGGATTGTTTTCAGCACCATCTGCTGGTTTCAGCCAGTTTCTTCACTGGACCAGATCTGGACCCATCTGCACCAGATCCCATCTGGACCAGATCCTGTTTTGGTCAGCAGGGTTGTGACCAGAAAAGAAGTCCTGCCAGTCTCCTACTTCAGTTGGAGCTGGAAGATGAGATATCACACAGAAGGAGGAGGCTGGACAGAGAAGGAGATGCCTGAGGATGCCATACTTTGGAGGAAGACACCAAAATTTCTTCTAAAGAGGGAGGCAGCACCATCTGATTTGTGGTTAAAACATCACTTTGGCTGTAGGAGGGAGATTAGGTTAGAATGAAAGAAGTAGTTGGCAGTGCCTGACATAACCCCTGCTGTATACATCACTGCCGAGCAAAATAATTAACAGCATTAGCAGTGATGACAGCAGCACCAGTAACAGCAAACACTGAGAGTTCCTTTATGCAAAGCAGCATGCTAAGTGCTTTGCCTGCACTCTCTAATTTATTCCTAACAGTCACAGTCTAATTTATTCCTAACAGGAGAGAAACATTAGTATCTCTATTATACAGAAGAGGAACACTGAGGCTCAGAGAGATAGAGGCTTGTCCCAGTCATTCAGCTTGTAAGCATCAGTGGTAGGACACACAACCAGACAGTCTGGCTTCACAGTGCCTGACCTTAACCATGAAGAACAGTTGTTCAAACAGGTATGGACTTCCTCAAGTCATTTTTTGAAAGAGAGGTTTGTATAAGATGCCATTGAATATATAATTGGGCTCAAATAAAGTAGGTAAGTATAAAACTATGCACTTATGAGATATAGACAGAATTAACAGTCATAAACTCATATGCTTACTAGGTCCATATTGGTAAAAATAAGCTGGCCAGACCAAGACAGTGGGAAGGACTGTGGGAACTACAGATTTCACACCCTATAGATGCAGAAGCTGTCTTTTTTTTCTCCCTGTTTGTCGCTAGGCAGACGCATGGTCTGAGAACTGCCAGATATCATAGTTTTTCCAAGAGATACCAGGTAGATGGCATTGAATGTGAATGCTTCCAGGTTTTGAATTCACATAAGCAACTATTTTTGTTGTTAACATTGCCCAGGTCAGCACTAAATGGGCAAAGCAGAGAAGCAATAGGCCATTAGATAAAATGCCGCCTGCAGAGGTCAGTTAAAACTTTTAGATTTGGCTTTCGATTTGGGATTTGAGCTGCGTGGAATTGCTTCAGATGATTGGTCTGTATGCTGCAAGCTCAGCCCAGCAGGCCACTGGCTGTTAGTTCTGGGTGTTTTTAGCAATCCTCCTAACTCAAGGCCGTAGAGACCAGCTCTTGATACATTTGACATAGACTTCACGTCTGAGCTTAGAGGCATGGAAGAATGAACTTGCTTAATCAATCATGAGGCACAAAGAGCAAAGCCTCCAGGCATATTAAGGGCATTATTCATCTAAGACAGATTGATGTCTTTCCACTCACCACTGAAGTATCAGCCCCTGTAAGGAATCTAAACCAGAGCCTTGAATTACAAATCAAAGAAGAGCAATAATAGGGGAAAAGTAAATATAAGTTAGTGTACAACTTCCTGAGTTCGACTTGAGGCCGTGTTCACTTGCTGCTGTGTGAACATTATTTCTCATTAAACTAATCTGAGTTGCACATGTAAATGAGGTCCACAAAGTCCAAGGCTGCCGGAGTATCTGGCTACGTGATCTCGGCATGTTTCCATTTAATGTTTCCTGTGCTTCCTTGTAACTCCAAATAGAATCATGGAAATCTGTTTAACAACAAAATGAAAAGAAAATAAAGTTGGACTGGAAAATGTATTGACTTCTCTATGGACAGAAATAAAACAATGTACTGGTTTTTGAACTCAAAGAACTATGTTTTTCATCAGTTCCAATTATAGGCCCAAAGAATAGGAATGATGCTATATCTTAGCAGAAAGACAGAGTCAGATTGAGAATCAGGGTCATCTTAGTGGATAAATGCAATTAATAAAAACACACAGAAAAAAAAGGCAAAGTGCATATATTTCGTATTTGAAGTAAACTCCATACATACTTTTTATTTGATGAAGAATAAGTTTTCTTAGATTTGTTGTGGTTGTGTTTGACCCTTTAAGCAAATCAGCTATTAGATGTTATACTGCACAAGGGTGGGTACCATAACTATTTGATAAACCAACATCAATCTATTACCTTGCAGAGTACTGGGAACATATCTGATTTCCAAACACAGGTACTCTAGCTGCAGACGGCCACATAGCTTGTATTCCAGGGTCTAAGAATTGTGGATGCCTGAATGCCTGGGCATTCTTGAAAGAGGATGACATATATTGGGATGATCATGAATATAGATATATCAGAAATTTAGAAAATGTAAAAATTAATAACATGTGTTCTTTCTCTGCCCAAATCTTGGATAACTCACATCCTCTAACTGGTCTTCCTATCCTTTAGTTAGCATACATGAGTGTTTCCCAAGCAGAGAGTTGTGGCTCTGTGAGAACACAAGCTGATTTTAGCCAACACTAGGCACAACAGCGGAAAACATTACATCATTTGGTGAGAAATTATTTCTATTTTAATTTTCTTTTACTTCCTGTTACATCAAGGAAGAGTCTAACAAGATTTTCACAATTTCTAATTTTTCTGTCTGGAAAATAGAGACCCAGCCTCAGTCTTGGAATTCTTTAGTGTGTAAGAGTACCGTTCAACCTGGACATCCTATTACTGGGTATATGCCCAAAGGAATATAAACTATAACACAAACAGGTATATTCATTGCAGCACTATTCACAATAACAAAGAGATGGAGTCAATCTAAATGCCCATCAATGATAGATTGGATAAAGAAAACGTGGTAAATATACACCATGGAATACTATGCAGCCATAAAAAGAACAAGATCATGTCCTTTGCAGAGACACGGATGGAGCTGGAGACCATCATCCTTAGCAAACTATGCAGGAACAGAAAACCAAATACCACATGTTCTCACTTATAACTGAGAGCTAAATGATGAGAGCACGTGGACACATAGAGGGGAACAATGCATGATGGGGCTTATTGGAGGGTGGAGGGTAGAAGGAAGGAGAGGATCGGGAAAAATAACCAATGGGTACTAGGCTTAATACCTGGGTGATGAAATAATCTATACAACAAACCCCCATGACATAAGTTTACCTATGTAACAAACTTTCACTTATACCCCTGAACTTAAAATAAAAGTAAAAAAAATAAAAGTCTTCAGCAAAAATTCTACATTATTGAATCATCTGATTGTACTTCTATAGTTATCTTCTATATTAACCAGAATTTAGCCAAGGAAGCAGAACTGAAACGAGTGTTGTAGAATAGAGAATGTGTTATAGGCATAACATCATTCCAGTGGTTCTCAGCAGGGGATGGTTTTGTTCTCCCTGCCTTCCAGGGGACATTTTTGGTGGTCAAAACTGGGGATGTGCTGATGGCATTTAGTACACACAAGACAAGGATGCTGCTAAACATCTGGCAGTGTCCAGGACAGATCACCACAACAAAGGACTGTCTGGCTCAATATGTCCATAGTGCCGAGGTTGAAAAGCCCTGCCTTACCAATTGCGAGGGGAGCTGGCACAGTATAAAGAAGTCTGTAGAGAGCTGTGCCTCTGGGCTGGGGGTGGGGCTGGGGTCATTGTTGTTCATCAGGGGCAGAGGTTGCAACAAGAGCTGGAGGCAGAGCAAGGAGAGAGAGAATGTTCTGGAAGCTGCCAGCATCTCTGGGTCTGTTTCTCATTGTATGACAACCTTCTGAGCATAGTGGCTACTGCTCCATTTCTGTTTTCCAAACCTCCCTTGAATTTTTCTTTCAACAACTTTTATCTTCGATGCAGAAAAAGAGATTCCATGCAATGAAACGGCAACATCACCAGCTTAGTGACAGTTTATATCCACATACATTGCATATATCAGGGAAAAGAATTTTTCCATTATCATGTATCATAAAGTTTATTTTGTAAGCAAATAAAAGGAAGTTAAACAAATAAGCATATTTAAAAATACATATTGAGCAAATGTCAAAACCTGTAACTAGTTCATAAATAACATGCTTGTGATACATTAAAATTAATCCTGACATCCCTCCTCCATCCTTAACATTCGATCTTTTTATGATAGGTACTCCTGTATTGCTTGAACAATATCCATTGCATTTGTATGTCACAGAAACAGCCCTCTGACATGTTGAGGTAACCATAAGTCTGGGTAAAAATAAAGATTACTTTTCACAATCTTTTTTAGAGATAGAGATGGCCAAGGGTCATAGTTTTGGATAACCAGGTATAAGTGGATGTTGTTGAATAGAACTTTCAGGGAAGCTCTTTAAAAAGATGCTGACTCAGTTGCATTTAATCCTTTCTAGTTTTCCCGTTCCTGGGGATGTTGATGCAATGGCTGGTGTTACAGAAGCCACTTGCAGTAAGACAATGTAAGGATGACAGTGGGTGACGAAAATGACTGAAGCTTAAAGGTAGACTGAGCCTTAGAAAAAATGATGGCAATTAAGTTTCTCTGAACTATCTCTGGACTACCCATCACAAAATTATACAGTGGTATGAGAAAAAGAAAAGTCCAGCCTCTTTGAGGTATTTCCGGTTCTATGTTATTGGAAATATATTCACTTCTAATTCTTATCCTTTTTGTGTTTGAAAAACATGGCCTCAAACCTCTGTTTCCAAATTTAAAGTATATGAATCCATTTACCATTACTATATTTCCACCTTTTCACTTCACCTTTGAACCACCCAATTTGAGTAAGTAATGTTGATAGCTTTTATTTTCCTTTTCTTTTTTTTTTACAATTCAGTGATAATGCTATTTATTTCCATGAAAACCTTGACAGTTTTTCTTTGATAATCCAATTGCTAAGCCAAAGGGGATTGTTGCTTTAATTTTTTTTTAAAAATGAGGATTGCTCATTTTCTGTCCCTAAACTTTGTGATATCTTTAAAATTGCCACTCTCTGCACCCCACATCTGTATCTTCTGTTACCTAATTAAAAAAAGAATCAGGAGTATCGTGTGTCACTAATCATCTGAACCAGTGGTTCTCAAATGGGGGTAAGTTTATTCTTGGGAAAATCTGGAAATGTGAAGACATTTTTGGTTAGAAGCACTCAGGGGCTGGGGAAGGACTTGCTCCTGGCAGCGAGTGGGTGAAGACCAGGGATGCTGATAGACCTCAGCACTTCACAGGACAGCACACACACAGAACAGTGATCCAACTCAGCGTCACTAATGCTCAGGTTGAGAAACCCTGATTTAAGTAAAATGGTTTGAAATTTAGAAGGATTTTACAGGGAAGGGAAATGCGACCTTGTGAGAATTAAAAAGGAACTGTTTTCAAATGAGGTGAAAACTGTGGTAAAAACACGTTCTTGTGAGTGGCCCTCACTGCTCCACGTCCTGGGGTGATTCCCAGGAGATAAATCAAATTTCTATTTGTTAGCAAATATTGTAGTTTAAATTCTGAGTACCTCTAGGCAGTGGGGATTAGTGGCGAGGCACAGGACCTGCAGTGAACTGCAATCAAAGCCTCCAAATTACAGTGCAGAAGGGGTTAAGATTGGGTAGGGCTCAATAATTGACAGCTTACACTAATGGCTCTAAATTGCGAATAATGTTCTTTGTTCTCGGCTTTCATAAATTAATAATTAAGGGGAAAATTCAGTATTTTTGACCCTTGAAAAATCTTGCATCATTCATATTCAACTCTTAAGAAACAAAAGCTTTGCATGATTAGTATAATGTGTTTTCAGAAAAAGCTAAAAATGATTATATATCATCAGAAAATCTGTATATTACTACCTAAATATCAATATTTTTACCATAAGATAATTGTATGGAAAAACGTTAGTTCATAGAAGTGATAGACAACTATTAATTTTATACTACATATAAAATTATATATCCTTTGAATTTTCTATTAGAGTGAAAAAATGAAAGAAAAATTCTGACTTTCTCTATTATAGTTTCACATTCACAAAATGTAGACCATGTTTGCAAACAGGCCCCCTGTAGAGGAACTCTGCCATTGTGTGTATCTACAATGGCCACTCAGGCAAAGCATGAACCACACCTGATCTAAGTCTGGGAAGAACCCCTTGGGATGCTTTTGAACATGACAGGAGGGGAGGCCTCTGGAGCTGCTCTGAGACTCTCCCTTGCTCTCCTCCCTCTCTCTCCTGGGAGGCTACCATGAAGCATGAGCTCCTGGATTCTGATGTGGCATGAGGCATTTTGCCTTTCCTCCTGTGGAATGGAGCAGCAGACTACAAAACCACTTAGCTGCATTGACTCTATTAGTGTTGTCTTTTTGGTGTGTGGAACAAGGAACTGAGGGTGCAATCAAGTGTCTGCATTTAAAAGCAGCTTATTATAAACATCATGTGCATGTTGCAGCACTATTCACAATAGCAAAGACTTGGAACCAACGCAAATGTCCATCAGTGATAGACTGGATGAAGAAAATGTGGCACATATACACCATGGAATACTATGCAGCCATAAAAAAGGATGAGTTCATGTCCCTTGCAGGGACATGGATGAAGCTGGAAACCATCATTCTCAGCAAACTATCACAAGGACAGAAAACCAAACACCACATGTTCTCACTCATAGGTGGGAATTGAACAATGAGAACACTTGGACACAGGGCAGGGAACCTCACACACCGGGGCCTGTCAGGGGGTGGGAGGCTGGGGGACAGATAGCATTAGGAGAAATACCTAATGTAAATGACGAGTTGATGGGTACAGCAAACCAACATGGCGCATGTATACCTATGTATCAAATCTGCACATTGTGCACATGTACCCTAGAACTTACAGTATAATAAAAAAGAAATGAAAAGAAAAAAAGCAGCTTGTTGTGTTTTCTATCAGTGGAATTGGTCAAGCCTGGGCCTTGGCCTGGTCTTGTCTGGCTTGCTGGCCGTCTCCACACCTAGAATAATGGAAAGCCACTGTAGGGTAGCTAAGTTTGGAAACCCCACTATGCGGGATAAAAACATAAGGTGCTGCCATGAAATAGCTCACAATTGGGGTAAACTCAAATGCCAGTAGGATCAATGCAAGATAAGGAAGGACAATGGGATTACTGTACACAAACGGTGAATATGTTGAACTAAAGACATCGTGCTTCTTCCGGATGCATGCAGGGCTGAGCTCCAAGCAGCTGTTGTCATGGAGGAATCTGAGCATTATGTTGCTGTTTTTTTTAGTTTTGTTTTGTTTTCCTGATAATTCTATCAGCATATAATCCACGTTTGACTCCGCTATGGTCAATCATTTTACATAAGCATGTCCTTTCTGATTTCATCCGTAGAACTAAATTCAGTTCCTAGTTCTGCTACTTTCAGACTTTGTGGTATTTTGCAAGTCACTTACCTTTATTTTCTACAAATGAGAAAATATAATAATACCAGCTTTTATATGTTTGGGGTTATTTCAAATACAGAAAAGTTAGAAGTTATAGAATCTTGAAATCAAACTGACTTAAAGAACAAGAAAATTGCTCTTTTCACATAATGATAAGTTCGGGAGATGACAAGCCACACAGCCAGTTTACTCGGGGGCCCAGTGATGTGTCATGAGAATAGACTCCGTTAGGGCTAAAACCACTGTGAAAAACAATGTTCTTTCTACTCTACACTAAAAAGGCAATGAGTGGGCACAGAGAGAATGGCAACTCACCAAGAGACAGAAATTGAGAAGAAAGGACCGGTCAGGGAGGAGGAGAACAGTGTTCTAAACACGTCCACATTCATTAAGTAGATTGAGTTATAAATTTTCAAACTCACGCCTGTAATCACAGCACCTTGGGAGGTGAAGGCGGGCAGATCACTTGAGGCCAGGAATTTGAGACCAGCCTGGCCAACATGGTGAAACCCCGTCTCTACTAAAAATACAAAAAAAATTAGCCTGGTATAATGCCACGTACCTGTAGTCCCAGCTACTCAGGAGGCCAAGGAAGGAGAATCGCTTGAACCTGGGAGGTGGACGTTGCAGTGAGCCGACATTGTGCCACTGCACTCCAGCCTGGACAACAGAGCAAGACTCTTGTCACAAACAAACAAAACAAAACAAAAAAATCAATTGTATTTCTAGATTGTGGCAATGAGCAATCTGAGAATAAAATTAAGAAAAAAATTCTATTTACAATAGCAGTAAAAAGAATGAATCATAAATAAATTTTAAAAAGAAGTACAAACTTATACTCTGAAAATTAAAAACATTGGTGAAAGAAATTTAAAAATCTAAAATAGTGAAAAAGATTCTATGCAACTGAAAGGCTTAATAACATTAACATGATAATACCTCTCAAATTAATCTAAAGGCAAGACTCAATTCCTGTCAAAATTCTAGCTGACTTCTCTTTGGTAACTGATAAGCAGACTGTAAAATTCATATGGAAATTTAAGAAACCTATAGTAGCCAAAACAATTTTGGTAAGAAAGAACGATGTTGAAAGATTCACAATCCTCAATTTCAATACTTACTACAAAGCAATTATTAAAAAAATGGGGGGAGTGTAATATTGGTATAGGAATCAACTTTTGGATCAAAGAAACAGAAGTTAAAAATCCAGAAATAAATCCTCAAGTTTATGATCAATTGACTTTCAACAAGGGTCTCGAGACCATTCAGTGGAAAAAAAAAATGTAATGTTTTCAACAAATGGCCCTGGGATACTAGTCCCATTAAAAAAAAAAAAGTAGGACTGCTCCTTCATACATGTACATAAATTAATTCAAAATAGATCAAAGACCTGCATGTAGGATCCAAAACTATAAAACGTCTATAAGAAAATCAGATATAAATATGCTCAACTTTGGATTGGGCAATGATTTCTTAAATCCAGTACCGAAAGCTGGACTTAACACTTTGTACAGGAAAATCTTTCCCAGTTTCAAATTCAATGTGGATTTCTTGGTTCTGCATGGGATCGTCTGGCACCTAACCAGCCCCACTACCATGTCTGTCCTTGAAAGGAGGTGTTGGGGTTCTGGTGCAGCAACACCAGAGGGGTGCCTGCAGGCTGATTGCCCTGCCCCAGCTGCTGGGAGGGAATCTCTGGTCGTAGAAGGCCAACGACCACCAACAAAGGTGATCTTGTTCTGTCTTTTCTATGTGAATAAGACAGTCTACTCAGTGCTTGACTGACTTGTATTTTCCTTGGTGACTCTGATACCAAGATGCAGTGGGCAGGAAGGCTTGGACTTCTGCTCCTGGTGATTTAGGCAGCAGGTACCACTTGTTCAGCAGTGATGGATGCACAACTCTGAATATACTAGTCGCCACTGAATTGCACACTAAGAGTGTGAATTCTTATTGTATATGAATTACATTCCAATAAATCTACTTAAAAGATACGTTATTGAGATGATTAAATGGAGTAAATAATTAAACCGCAGTAAGATAGATAAGACAATTAATTAAAATAATGTCTATGAGCCTAAGCATGGTGCTTGGCTTATTGTAAGCATTTGATAAATATTAATTCTACCACTTATTATTTTCTCATCCTCCTCATCCAGTCCCTCCCAACATTTTTATTAATAACTTGAAGATATCCTTTATTTGAAATGCATGATTTGTCATTTTGTTTTGTTCTTAACTGAATACTGACATTTTCATGCAGAAGGATAACTATTTATAGATCTAGTTCTGCTTTTTCGTAAGCAGCTATGGCTAGTTCCACTAACTCCTTTGGAAAGAAGAAGGAAGCCCTCAGAGCTGGAGAGCCAAGGCAATAGAACAGGGCACCTGTGTTGGCCAGTAATAAAGTCAGCCCACTGGTACCCTGGGCAGCATCCATCCCTACACCCCCAACATGGGCACTAGAGCAGCCACTTGTAGGAACAATAAAGTTACCTTTGCAGACGTAAAACCACTCAGCACACCAAGTCAAATCTACCTTTTCTGACAAAGTGTTTATTTTGCAATATTAAAAACTAATTTTCTTTAATTATAAACCCCTGTAAGTGATCTAAATACTATTTTCTAAAATCAGATATATACATTTTCTGGGTTTACAGATGAGCATCAGGAAGTCACTATATGACAGATATGCTATAATCTTTTTTCTATAATTTATAATAGCAATTTTTACTTTTTCAAATTCAAAATTTACTTTTTCAAATACTAATAAATATTAAAATAGAAAAAAGGAAACTATAGAAGACATAAATCAATACAAAGATATCCCATGCTCATGGATCAAGATACTTGATATGGTAAGATGGCAATACTTCCTAGATGGATCTACAGACTGAAGACAATCGCTATCAAAACCCAGGTGATTTCTCTGCAGAAATTAACAAGCTAATGCTTATATGTACAGCCACGCATCACTTAAAGAAGTAGATATGTTCTGACAATTGCTCCCTTAGGCAATTTTGTTATTGTGTGAACATGATAGAGTGTACTTACACAAACCTGGATGGCAGAGCCTACTACACACCTAGGCTATATAGTATATCCTATAGCTCGCAGGCTACAAACCTGTACAGCATGTTACTATTGGATAGTAATAGTATTGAATACTGTAGCAATTAGAACACGATGGTAATTATTTGTGTATCTAAACTAGAAAATCTTCAGTAAAAACATGGCATAAAAGATTTTTAAAATGTCTAGGTCTAGGCCACTTAGCATGAATGAATGTCTAGGCCACTTAGCATGAATGAAAGCATGAATGAAGCTTGCAGGACAGGAAGTTGCTCTGGGTGAGTGAGTGAGTGAGTGGTGGGTGAACACGAAGCCCTACGACATTCCTGCACTATGCTATACTATATACTTTTATATGACTGGCAGCACAGTAGGTTTGTTTACACTAGAATCACCACAAACACCATGTGAGTAGCACATTGTACTATGACTCACAACGGCTACAATGTGACTAGGTGATAGGAATTTTTCAGCTCCATTGTAATGTTATGGGACCACCTTTATATACACAGTCTGATGACTCACATGTCTTTTACATAGTGCATGATTGTATACGGAAATGCAAGGAACCAGAATAGACAAAAACAATACAGAAAAAAAATTACAGACAAAAACAATACAAAAAAATTACAGAAAAAAACAAAGTTTGGAATCAAAGACTTCTTGATTCCAAAGCTTACTACAAAGCTACAGTAATCAAGACAGTATAGTACTTTCATAAGATTAGACATGTAGACTAATGGAAAAGAAATGAAGTCCACAAATAATGCCAAGTGCTTAGTGAGGAAGTGGAAACATTTCAGCACTCATTCATCGCTGGTGGAAATGTAAAGTGGTGGTGCAGTCACCTTGGAAACAGCTTGGCAATTTCTCAAAATATTTAGGATACAGGTACAATATGTCTTAGCAATTCCACTCCAAGCAATTCCACCCAAGAGAAATGAGGACACCCACACAACAACCTGTGAAATTAATGTTCATGACACCATTACTAACAATAGCCCCAAATGGAAATCACCCAAATGTCAATGATAAGTGGATAATTTGAAAGTAGTTTATCCATATAATAGAATAATATTCAGCCATTGAAAGGAATAAAGTTTTGATTCAACATGGATGAATATTAAAAATATTATGCCAATTAAAAGAAGCTAGTCACAAAAGTTAACTTACATACATTTAATTTATATAAAATGTTCAGAACAGGTAAACATGTAGAGACAGAAAGTAGATTAGTCATTTCCTAGAGATTTATGGGGTTGGGAGGTGGTATGGTTTGACTGTGTCCCCACCCAAATCTCATCTTGAATTCCCACGTATTGAGGGAGGGACCTGGTGGGAGGTGATTGAATCATGGGGGCAGGTCCTTCCTATGCTGTTCTCATGGTAGTGCGTGGGTCTCAGAAGATCTGATGGTTCTAGAAGGGGGAGTTTCCCTGCACAAGCTTTCTCTTTTTGCCTGCTGCCATCCATGTAAGACTTGACTTGCTGCTCCTTGCCTTCTGCCATGATTGTGGACCCTCCCCAGCCATGTGGAACTATAAGTCCAATAAACCTCTTTCTTTTGTAAAATGCCCAGTCTCAGATATGTCTTTATCAGCAGTGTGAAAATGCACTAATACAGAAGGTAAATTTCCTAGAGTTTTGGGGTGGAGGAGTGACGGTTAATGTGTATAAAATCTCTTGGGGTTAATGAAAATGTTTGAAAATTGCTTGTGATGATGGTTGTATAGCTCTGTGAAAATACTGAGTTGCACACTTGAAATGGGTGAATTGTATAATGTGAATAACATCACAATCAAAAGATACAACGGTACCATTGCATCTAGCCAAACAATTGCAATGTTTAAAAAATTATCAAATAATAATTTAGAAGGCAGTTTATTAAACTCAAACTATTCTATACATACTAATGGCTTTCTTTATGTTTTTTAGTACAAATAAGAAATTTTAAAAGATGACACAAAAGGTGTGCTTTTGTTCCTGGGGTGGTATCTGTTCACCATCATCCAAACCTCCTAACTCATCAATGAGGAAACCATGATATTTTCCAGAAAAAGTGACAGGTAATATGCAGAGACTCTTTAAAATAGGTGATAAGGAGGTGGCATATCATTCTGTTTTACAAATTCAATTATTGGTAAAACCTTGGATAAAGTTTATCTAAATTAAATGTTTGCAAACCACAACTGGAAAAAAATATTGTCAGTATTATTGTTAAACAAGATTGGTTTGTTTACTTTTTGATTACTTTTTTGAAAATAAAATTTTTGCATGATTACTAGAAATAATTGTAATTAGGATTTGGAAGAGCAAGGGGAACTAAATTTAAAATGCTCATCTTTTATTAATCACATACATTTTTTATAAGGAGGTTATTTTTACTGGCTCAGGCTAATCGAAAACCGTTATTTGACAAAATTGTGGAAACAATTGGCCCATGACAATTTAATGCTGTTTTTCAAAACTATCATCTGGCATAGGCTTAGATTAGCTAAACTCACATGGGTATTTTCTTAATTTCTTAATCATAGACTATTTGCAAGGTAGTTCCAACAGGCTAGCAGTTCACATGCGGCTGTAGAGTGTTATTAGCTCTGGTATAATAATCCCTAATTTCCAGTACAATGCTCTGAGTAGGAAAAAAAAACACAAAAAAACAAAAAACAAAGAGCCACAGCTGTGGGCACTATCCAGCTAGTTTCCCCAGGAATGTGTTCCCACATGGAAGCTCGTATCTTCTGAGCTAAATCGCAGGAAGAAAAACTTCCCGCCTGAAGATTAGAAGAGCAAGACTGAGTGCTCAGTGGACTGGAGTTTTTAAATTATCCTTGATCTCTCCGTGGCATATGACTTCACAGACACAGAACGACAGAGAAATAAAGCAACTCACACCACCTTGGCAGGAAGCCGTATCTGCATTCTGAGAAGCGCTGCATCTGGCTTTAACTCGGAGCAGCTGAATCAAGATTCAACCTATGATAACCAGACTCAAGCTCATTATCTCTCCACCATACACTGCTGTATCTGTGCTTATGGGTGGGAAGTGGAGTTTTCTAGGTGCCATAGAGAGGCGTAATTAGGAAAGTGTCGATTTTAGAAAATCCTTTTTTTTTTTTTTTTTTTTTTTGAGACAGTTTTCCTCTTGTTGCCCAGGCTGGAGTGCAATGGCGCGAACTCGGCTCGCCGCCACCACCTCCGCCTCCCGGGTTCAGGTGATTCTCCTGCCTCAGCCTCCTGAGTAGCTGGGACTACAGGCGTGTGCCACCACACCCGGCTAATTTTATATATATTTTTTTAGTAGAGACGGGGTTTCTTCATGTTGGTCAGGCTGGTCTCAGATTCCCAATTTCGCGTGATGCACCCGCCTCGACCTCACGAAGTGCTGGGATTACAGGCGTGAGCCACCGCGCCCGGCCTAGAAAGTGCTTTATTGAGAGAATTAAGTACAAGGCTTTCAATGAGGAGGTAACATGAGATTTTGTTTTCAACTCCAGCTAACATAAATCCTGATTAAATACTATAAATATATAAAAGAGTTGTGGTTTTACGAAGAAAGAAGTCTAGCTATTGGCCGTTGGCGTGGTGGTTCATGTTGCATTGAAGAGCCCAGGTTCCTTCTCTCTGCCTTCACCAGCTTCAGCAGGTGACTCCTGTGGTACCGGCATGAAATAGCTGCTCTATCACCGCACTTTACATTTATATTCCAAGGAGGTAATAGAGAATACTACCAACAGGCTTATTCTCAGAAACCTTTGCTTTTAATTTGAATAGAGCTGCTTTCCCTAAAAATGTTCATAAATGGCTTTAACTGGGTCACATGATGCTTAGTTGCAAGAGGATCTGCAAAGTATTTTTACTCTCAGTCTGTGTGGTAAAGAAAGATGAAGGAGGAGAAGAAGGATGGTGTTAGAGAAAGTGTCCATCATAAGGGTCCATCATAAGACACTTAAGATACATAAGACATAAAAAAGTGTTCATCATAAGGTACTGAGTCTTATAGTAAATAAAATATTAATGATTCTTCAGGGAAAAAGAACCAATGTGATAGATGGATGGATAGATAGATAGATAGGTGATATAGATATAGATGTATAGATTTAAGAGGATATTTATTATGGGAATTCACTTACGCAATTATAGAGGTTGAGAAATCCTAGACGCGTCATCTGCAAGCTGAAAAACCAGGAAATCAGTGGTAAGATTTAGTCTGAGTCTGAAGGCCTGAGAAGCAGGGCAGGGTGTTACTCTCCGTTTAAGTCCAGCGGACTGAGAACTGGGCCACTGGTATAAATCCTATAGTAGGAAGTCCCAAAAACTGATACTTCCAATGCTAAAAGAAGATCTTGTACTCAACTTGGCAGGAAATTAGGGTCACCTGGGTTGCAACCTCAAGTGGCAGGTTTTCAATCCCAACACATCAAGCCATTTTGAAGGATTCCTTTGACGCTTTCATCACTGTTGTTTTATTTCTATCGAAAAAGAGATGCAACTTTGGAACATGTTAGAGATGAAGGCTGTAACTTCCACGATGGTTTTTCTCCTTACTTCTTGGTGGTCTGTGTAGCCATACCTTCGTTCATGTTATTTCTTCTGGCTAGAAATCCCTCCCTCCCAACTTCCACTGTTGAGGAGCTTCAAACAGAAGTGCAGACCTGGCTCTGGAATAAAGAGGAGACACAGGTTAGAAGGAAATGATCCAAATGCTCAGATATTGCCAAGGAAGAAGCTGTCATTTTATATTCATTTTGGTCAGAACACTAAATATAAAATATAAAGGCTCATATACATATTTTTGCCTCAATTAATCTCACTTCTTTTTCTATTTAACATGAGGATGGCATCCCTAAGAAAGACCAATGTGTCCTTATCTGGAGATTTCAGTCCATCTGCAGAGATCAAGTTTCACACACAGTAAGTCATGTTTACTCTTGAAAGGACACAAAGACCTCGGTAAACTCTGTTCTTCTCTGCCTCAACAAAAATGGCACATTCCCTTTAATTCCTTTGTTTCTGGAAGTAGAACTTCTCCCAAAGGAGGCTTTAAAAGATGAGCAAATGCTCTCAGATCCAAGGACATGTTAAATCTGCACTGGTATCCTGCCTGTATTCCAGTCCCATTTTTTTTACCTCTGGTCCAGAAGGAAGCCTGTGTCTATTGTAATTGAAAACACAAAGAGAAATTACAGCCAGTAAAGACTGTTGCTAAAGGTTTCCCTGCAGCTCTTCCCTGTCCACACTGGCCCACTCCTGAGATCTTTCTGCAGCTCATTTTGGTTTTACACGCACATGCATGCACGTTTTCCAATATTCCCTCATTCTGTACTCGCCCTGGTTGCATTTCATTCTGTAAACGGACAAGACACATGCTCCCAGCCCTTTACTGACAATACTGTGGAGCTTGTTATTGCTTCTTTGTTATTGCTGCAGTTACAGAAACAGTGATGTCCAAGCATTATTAGACCCAACTCTCCCACCAAGCCTGTGAAGTAAGTTTTAATGTCATCCCATTTTACAGAAGAAGAAACTGAGACACAGAGATTGAGTCATTAAGCCATTAAAGTTGAAATGTAAGCCAAGGCAGTCTAACTCCAGAGTTTGCATTCTTAACCATTATACCAGGTATAATTTTTGTTTTCAGAAGCAGCTGCTTATGATGGGAGCAGTATTTGTGGCTAATTTGATGGCATAAAGCAATATCTAGAAGTCGTTACCTGGTCGAGGCTTTCCTGCTAGGGACTGGTTCTTGACTGGCATTGAGCTCATTAAGGATTTAACACTATGCTGAGTATATTAAAGGTGCAGAATAAATGTATGTAGATGTCCATGAAGTAGGAAATTACTGAGACATAGGAACAGTATTCAAAATATACTGAGTGCCCCCACAGTAGGACAAATATGCATCGTACATAGTAACTGTGTTAGATAGAATGCCAGGTAGGCACATCAGTTTGTGTTTTAAAATAACATTCTGGGCAAATATCAATCAGAGTGAGACTTTAATAATGTTTCACAAGACTCCCAATGTTTCAATGTCCTTTCCCTTTAGACAACACTCGCTTCCAGGCACTTGAGTTCAATTCCTTTTTTTTGGATACAGAGTCTTTCTCTGTCACCCAGGCTGGAGTGCAGTGGCGTGATCTTGCCTCACTGCAACCTCCACCTCCCAGGATCCTCGTGCCTCAGTCTCCCAAATAGCTGGGATTACAGGCTGGTGCCACCTACATTTTTTATAGAGATGGGATTTTCCCATGTTGGCCAGGCTGGTCTTGAACTTCTGACCTCAGATGATCCTGCGGTGGCTCACACCTGTAATCCCAGCACTTTGAGAGGCAAATGTGGGTGGATCACCTGAGGTCAGGAGTTTGAGACCAGCCTGACCAACATGATGAAACCCCCTCTCTACTTAAAATACAAAAATAGCAGAGTGTTGTGGTGCATCCCTGTAATCCCAGGTACTCAGGAGGTTGGGGCAGGAGAATCACCTAAGCCCAGGAGACAGAGGTTGCAGTGAGCAGAGATCACACCACTGTACTCCAGCCTGGGGGACAGAGTGAGACTCTGTCTCAAAAAAAAAAAAAAAAGAAAGAAAGAAACTGGGCAGCAGCTTCTGCTTCTGGTTTTATTGGTATCAAAGGAAAAGAAAATTCATAACACTTCCACATTCTTCAAACATTCTATGCTATAAATTACTGTAGGAATCAGCATATAGGCACATTGTGCATTGGGTTTCGTCCTGAATGAGCCCAGATGATAGCCTAGCACGATAAGTTTTAAAATCTTAGGGTGATAAACTCCAATACTGGAGTGAAAAGCAAGTGATGAAGTGTGAGGTATGGGAAACCACAGGGACCGTGCTGAAACCAGAAGCCCCTGCAGGGTAGAAATGTGCACTCTCAGCTGTGCTGATTGTTGCCCAATAGGAACTCAGGCCGAGGGTGAGCAAATCTTCTAATGAAAGCAGAGGAGGCTAAAATATTAATGTTTACCTGAGACCCCACTATTACAAACTGTTGGTAATTAATTAAAATTAAATTTAAACACAGAGCATTTTAAGAGAAAAATATAGGGTGGATTTTATCTGAAAATTGCCCGTTTGCAATCTCTGAACTACATTTGGTAATTCATTAAAAAGCCATGGTGTCTTTGAGAATATATGACATCATCAGATTGAAGTCTCCTCTTTCATTGGGATAATGTTTCCAACATACTTTACACTTAACTTTTAAAAATGCTTATATGGCTAGACTTAGGATTATATAGGGAAATGCAATCTACATTAGAAACCCAAAGTGATATACAGATGCTCCTCGATTTATGATGGGATTACATCCTAATAAACCCATCCTAAATTGAAAAAAAAGGAAAGAAAATTAAGTAACCCCAGTGTGAGAAATCAGAGCTACCAGGTGTACTATGTATAATAATTATGCATGCATTTAAATCTGTTCTGCTCATTGAGCTGATGAAATTGTAAAATGCTATTTTACATTCATAGCTACAAGCACATTAGGTATGAAGGGCTTTCTGGAAATCGTTATATAAAATTACTTGTTTTTCATATTAATTTCAATATTAAAATGACTGAGATTTTTTTAAAAGAGTTTGCATTCAAATGAAGCTGGTTTAAAGAATAAGATTGGGAAAATAAGCATGTTTCCCTTAGACCCGTGTTACTGGAATCCAGATCTGAATTTAATGAATCTAATTAAACATATACGTTTCCATCGAGTGTCAACTCACAGCCATTTTTATTACATTATGTGGAATTTGGGATGACTGAATAATCTTTACTATCACAAACAGCTTGCAAGTCATGATTTTGGATTTTTCTTTGCTTTTCCATAATAGAAATTATCTTGCTGTCTGTTATAATCCCTAAATTCTTAGAGTTGGCTTATGAGTGGAAGTAACAGGCATAGGCATATTTCAGAAAATGAATATCTTTTGGCTGTAAAGTACTGGGAAATAAAGTGCCTGGACCTTACATTTTCAGCTTACTTTTTGCTATTACAAAATCTCATTTTTTTCTGGTTGAATAAAAATTGAGATTTTTTTTAAATAGACATGTTCATTTTCAGCTCTCTCTTCTTTTCTTTTTCTCTTGTTTTTTTAAGTAATTGTTGCAACAGTACTAAAATTTGAACACAAATGTCATCAACACCTGTGAGGGGGCCTTTCCCATGACTAATAATGGCCTCATCAGGGCACTGATAGAAGCCCCAGGAGAGTGTGGGGCCTACAGTGATCTTTATTTCTGGCTGCAACTCCCTGCATCCATGCAAAGGCTGAGGGGCCCAGATTCTGAGTTGGGGGCAGCAGAAATGTGGAAGCCACAGAAGAGGAGCAGTGTCCCCTCTGGAGCTGGCTTTGCAAGAAAGCCTTGTCTTGTTATTCTGAGAAAGTGAGGAGGCTGTGACTGTTCCCATATTGATAATCATGACAACTGTTGCTCTTGTTCACATCTCTCTTTGCTACTATGCTAAGGGGTCCTGGAGGAGAGGCTCTGTGAGTACTCAGTACATGCTCAACAAACACAATTTTAGTCAATGAATGCTCCACTAAAACTCCAGGTTACTGTGGAAGCTGAGATCCTCACACACTTGAGTGAGTAGCTGAGCAGGGACCGGAGCCCACCATCTTGTGTTCCACATCCCGTAGTGTAACTTACTGTCTGACGGGTTGTTGTCCAAAGCTTAGACAGAGCCAATTTACCAAGACAGATGAATTGCAATAGAGAAAGGGTTTAATTCATGCATAGCCGGCTGTATGGGAATACTGGAGTTTTATTATGACCAAATCAGTCTCCCAGAAAATCCGGGGGTCAGAGTTTTTAAGGATATTTTGGTGGGTAGGGGGTTGGAAAGTGGCGAGTACTGGTTGGTTGGGCTGAGATGAAATCTTAAGGAATTGAAGCTGTCCTCCTGTGCTGAGTCAGTTTCCGGGTGAGGGCCAGAAGAGCAGACCAGCCAGTTTATAGATCTGGGTCTTACCAGCGGATCCATCAAGAACAAGGCCTGAAAAGTATCTCAAGCACTCATCTTAGGTTTTACAATAGTGACGTGATCCCCAGGAGCAATTTGGAAAGGGTCAGAATCTTGTAGCCTCTAGCTGCATAACCCCTAAATCATAATTTTGAATCCTGTGGCTAATTTGTTAGTCCTGCAAAGGCAGCCTAGTGCCCAGGCAGGAAGGGAGTTTGTTATGGGAAAGGGCTGCTGTGGTCTCTGTTTTAAAGTTAAGCTATAAACTAAATTTCTCCTAAATGTAATTTGGCATCTGCCCAGGAATGAACAATGACAGCTTGGAAGTTAGATGCAAGATGGAGTGAGTTAGGTCAGATCTCTTTCACCATCATAATTTTCTGTTATGATTTTTTCAAAGGTGGATTCAGTAGTGGCCGAGGCTGACAGCACGGTCCTCACCTGGTGAAGCCCTTGTCTGGGCCAGGAAAGAGGAGTTCACACAAGGTCAAAATATTGTGATCGGTGCCCAAGCCCCAGATGCCCTTGCCCTCACAGGAGCACATTCAGTGCTTAGACGAAGAGCAAGAGGCCCTTCCCTTCTCTCCCTACTCCTGCCTTGGTCTCTTTCATATGCAGATTAAAGGAGCCAGGGAGCACTGGGTAGCTGTGGGCAGCTGAATACGCAACGGGAGTTCAATGTCCTTGTCAGCGGATCCCTTTGGAAAAATTCTGAGTGAACATTAAGTCATCTATTTTAATACAACTTGAAAAAGTAAAACACTCAGTAGGGAGGCGATAGAGAAATGACCTGGCCTAGAAAATACAAGCTGGTAGAATTATTTCCTCCGTCTCTTTCTCTCCCACTTTTTATATGATACTGGTCGTTTATTTTGGAGAGGAGAATACATTAAGGCCTTTCACCAATATTGTTCATCAGAAATATCCTCCTCTTTCCTAAAAATGGAAAGAAATGAACCTGTTTGGAGGATCTAGCAAATGCGTTCTCAGAGCAAACAAAGATAGGAAGGAAAGTGTCTTTTAGCATGCTAACGCATTACAATGAGCAGCGAGAATGACCGGAGTCACTTTCATGGTGGGATGTGGCTTCTTTATCGCAACCTGTTTTATCAGCAGGGTCTTTATGACCTGTATCTTGTGCCCAGCTCCTATCTCATCCTGTGACTAAGCATACCTAACCTCCTGGGAATGCAGCCCATAGGTCTCAGCTTTATTTTATCCAGTCCCTGTTCAAGATGGAGTCGCTCTGGTTCAAACGCCTCTGACAAAATCATCTCGTGCTAAAAGACATTCCCACCAGTGCCATGACCGCTTACAGATGCCTTGGCAACATCAGGAAGTTACCTTCTATGATCTAAGAAGGGGATGAAACCTCCCTCAGTTCCAGAAATTGCCCAGTCTTTTCCCAGAAAACTCATGAGTAATCCACCTCTTGTTTAGCATATAATCGAGAAGCAACTCTAAGTACACTCAGTCTAGCAGCCCATGCCGCCGCTCTGCCTATGGAGTAGCCATTCTTCTATTTCTTTGCTTTTTGTTTTTCAAGACGGAGTCTCGCTCTGTCGCCCAGGCTGGAGGGCAGTGGTGCGATCTCAGCTCACTGCAAGCTCCGCCTCCCAAGATCCTTGTCTAATTCCTGTTTTGTTTTCACCTGCTTTATTATAATCATTCTTCCTCTCAATGTCTATATATCTCTGGCATCCACTCATAATGGTCCTTTTACTCTTTTCTTTCCTCTATGTTATAATTGTTATACTCATTCTAATGTTACCCTTAGGTTATTCCAAACAGTAGCCCCTGCCCCTCCCTTTACTGACTGCTGGACGTGTCATCATCACCAGACTCCCATGACAAAAATTTCTGAGCCATTTTGGTCTCATTGCATGAGACCTTTGGGAATTATAGCCAACGGCCTTTCAACTTTCACCTACTTGGAAAATAATATCCCTAAACAAATCAACCTCTGACCCTTCTTGCATTCATCTCTTCAAGAAAAAGAATGAATTATCACAATCTATTGTTCAGACCTATGTAATTCTACATTTGAATTCAACAACCTCCATTGTGCAATGGGCCAGTTACTCATTCCCAGAAACATACTAATAGAGATTTCAAATATTTCAGCTGATGTTAGCCCTTGGTCGGACCTGATGGCATTAGCAACTCCTCTTCCTGGATCTCCAAGGGGCTTACTAGACACTGCTTCTTTAGAGCCCAGGACAACTGGTCCTGTTTGCCTCAAATTAACCCCTTATGCATGGTAGAAATTGTATCCCAAGACTTGATTCCAAAATCACCAAAGCCGCATATTCTGACTCAGACATTAGTTCCACAACAAGCCTACCCTTAATTAGCTATTTAGGCACTCTATCTAGGGGAATTGTTGACTTATCATTTTTGCAAACAATCTGAGCAATATTTCCAATGATGAGAATCATATAAACGAAAAATATACTTTGGGCTCAGTGGTTCATGCCTGTAATCCCAGCACTTCAGGAGGCTGAGGCAGGCAGATCACTTGAGGCCAGGAGTTTGAGACCAGCCTGGCCGACATGGTGAAACCCCATCTCTATTAAAAAATACAGAAATTAGGCCGGGTGTGGTGGCTCATGCCTGCAATCCCAGCACTTTGGGAGGCCGAGACAGGCAGATCATGAAGTCAAGAGACAGAGACCATCCTGGCCAAAATGGTGAAATCCATCTCTACTAAAAATACAAAAAAATTAGCTGGGTGTGGTGGTGCGTGCCTGTAGTCCCAGCTACTCAGGAGGCTGAGGCAGGAGAATCACTTGAACCCAGGAGGCAGAGGTTGCAGTGAGCCAAGATTGCACCACTGCCCTCCAGCCTGGTGACAGAGTGAGACTCCATCTCAAAAAAAAAAAAAAATTAGTTGGGCATCGTGGCATGGGCCTGTAATTCTGTAATTCCAGCTACTTGGGAGGCAGAGGCAGGAGAATCACTTGAACCTGGGAGGCAGAGGCTGCAGTGAGCCGAGTTAGTCCCACTGCACTCCAGCCAGGGTGACAGAATGAGACTCTGTCTCAAAAAAAGAAAAAAAAATATTTAAAAAGTAAAATAAATAAATAAATAACACTGTAAGAAGACTATAATTAAGCCTGGCAGAAGTTATTGATATCACCTGCAGCTCACAGGAGAGCCGGTCGCCATCTGAGAAGGCTGCAGAGGTTTTCATCACTTTTTATGATGTATCAGCTCACTTCAAAACAGTGAAAGAAAATAGAAGGCTTTTGAGGAGTGATTTCCAGAAGTGATGAAGAAAAGCATTTAATATGAATATTTATCTGGAGAAAACAATCAAACACAAGCTTTTTAAAAGTAGAAAGATGCATAGCTTCTTTTCTGATGTTTTCTGCTCTTCTCTCCTCTCCTCTTGATGAAAGTGAATTATTTAATGCCATCTATAACTTCCCAATTCAATTTAATGAGATTTACCAGCTCCCCACATTTGACAATTTATTTTCTATTAGGCTTTCAACTAAAATCCAGAAATAAAAGGTATGTTCTTTCAAAGCAATGTGATTTTCTTTTTGTATCTAATATATTCAAATGGCGTAAATTCAGACATATTGTATCGGACTTCACTGAAAACTGTATTAAAAGTTCCCGTTTGTTTTCAACGTCCCTGTAAATCATTCTCTTCCAGGCTATATTGACCTTTGTGAAAAAAAGGAGTAATGTTTGTCTATGTAGATAAACTTATTTGCAAAAGCCCACAAAATTAGGGTCATAACAACTAAGGCAAATCTTGAAAATATAAGAGAATGCATAAGAGAATTAACAAAATAAAAAACGCAAAAAGCATATAAAGGAATCTTAAAAAATGGAAAGTTGTTGATCCCAGGTTTGGGATGAATAGTGCAGTTCTGGTTACTTACTTTGTCACTGTGTTCCATGTGAATTCTGTTTCCAGAGCCCACCCTCCAGCACTAGCACCTCCTGCGGCCCACACAGGTGGGAGCTGGGGGCAGAGGACTTGGGAAGAAAGGAAGGCTGTGGCCAACTTTGCCATTAACCCACAGGCCTCTCAGTCATTTTGATGAAGTAGAAATCCTATAGGCCTGGGCTCTCTAGGCTGAAAGACGTGGTGAAGTTTCCTTTCTCTCAACTTGGATGAAATGGAATTTGCATTCTGTACAGGTAACATGCTTTTGGGTCAAAGATTGGTTGAAAATGCACAACAGAGCTCCCATCTGTCCCTGATGGCTTGTGCAGAATCAGGTTACAAGCAGGTGTGGAACAGGTTTGGTTCAAACTTGGCCTTGGCAAGCACTATTTAGTGTCTTTGTTCAATGTGCTTCACCCCTCGGACCCCCAGTTTTCTCATTTATAAACAAAAACTTGTTGGTACAGCAATTCCTCTACCCAATGCAATTCCTCTACCCAATGCCACTGTACAGGTGAACCATCATTGTGCCTTTACAGTGGTTAGCTGGCATATACTAATACCACTTATCATTACCATTATTGAATAATAACCAGGTTTTATGAAGCCAAACAGAGTTTGTGAGTTATATTTGCAAACATTAGGTTATTTTGTCAATATATCCCCTGCACATTCAGCTAGCCGATAAGAACACCTGGGTCAGGAGAAAAGTAACTGTCTCAAAGCTGCATGGCCAGTAGGGAGAGGAGGAGCACTCACACCTATGGACAATCTTTCCATTCCTAAGCCTGTGGTCTTCCCTTTCTATCCTGTTATCTCCTCAATAGTCAAAGATCCAGGGTGCCCAGTCCATGACACTCACACATATAACATTGCAGAAAAAGGTGCGTGAGATAAAGTGTCTCAATCTCAGAGTTCCTTCCGGGAATTGCAAAACGGTTTGTGTAGACAGGGTGCAGATGGTGTGTGACTGTTTAATTTGGCTCTTGAGCACTTTTTAAAAAAATTTTCTATTATGGAAAATTGCAAACATACACAAAAGCAAAAAGAAGAGTGTAATGAATCCCTGTGTACCCATCATTCATTTTTAGCAATGCCAACTGGCTTACCCCTAGAGAGCATTTAAAGGGTCTCATAATTGGCACTTATTTGACTTGGAATCAGAGCAAGCAAAAATTGTCATTATTGGTTTAATCCAACCTGCCTTATGCATTTGGTTACCAGCCTGGATAGTGAAGATGTGTGCGTTTGGGGCCTTTTTCAAATGTTGATGCAAAATAGAGAGGAAAAAAAGTAGTTTCTGACTTCAACTCACATTCACATGAGATAAAAAATAAAAAAAGACAAACCATCTATAAACCAAGTACTGACATATGGGGCACATTAATTTGTCAGGGAGTGGAACATGTTCTTTGGGCAACTGATAAATTGCAGGTAACCTGGAGCTTCTCAATCTGGAGTAACCACAGAGAACAGAAATAAGAGCTTCATGTCCTCACTCAAATCTCCTTCACCACCCCAAATAACTACCACTCTTCCCAAAAACCAAATTCAAAACACAGGCACTTGAAGTTTTACATGGGGAATATTTTGCTCTGGCAAATGTTGAACTGAAAATTATTATTGCTGAGGAGGAAAAGAGGTGCCAAAAGTGGCAGGGAAGGAAATACACTTTAACAACCCTGTCTCTGTGAATTCAGCAAATATGTGCTAACACGACAAATATTCACCAAGGAAAGAATCAAGTCTGACATTCATTCAATTTTTATTTGTTGCTACACAATTCTGGTTGGTGTTTGTTGATAGCCTCAAACACGTCAAAATTAGGTCTTTAGACATTATATTTCACAACTTAAATTAGGCAGATAAAGTAAAATATTCAATGTAAAAGATACCTATAAGTATATCTTGATTCTCTCTGTTTTCTAATACAGAAATCCAAGTAGTTGGGGTCATCAAGGATTTGTATTGAAATAATATAAAATAATGCTTTAAGTTTACTGTAAAAGAAATAGACATATTTATGTAGCCACCAACAACATGAATAGCTATAACTGGGTATTACTTCCCATAGAACATTTGAAGGAAAGGGCTTGTTATCAATATTGATAGCAGAAAGTAGTCTGTCTCACACGAGTGCATCCACAGATGCTCTGGTCCATCTCCTCCGGACTCCCTAAAACCTGTTCTGTTCATATTGCTACTTTCTCTCCAGTTTCTCCTTTCCTAATGGCTCTTTCTCATTAAGATTTTAATAAACTGAAAGCCAGTTCCACATGAAGGAGAATCAAACTCTCTGGCTCTCTATTAGCCATCCCCTCTCCCTCTTCCCCTTCTCAGCCTAACTTTTTAGACCGCTTTTTCCCAGATCATCCGAAATGCACTCCTCAATCCACTGCAGTCTCTTTTGGTTCCAATCACCCCACTGAAACTGTTCTTTAAGATTAGTAAAATTGGGCCAGGTACAGTGGCTCACACCTGAAATCCCAGCACTTTGGGAGGCCAAGGCAGGTGTTTCACATGAGGTCAGGAGTTCGAGACCAGCCTGGCCAACATGGTGAAACCCCATCTCTACTAAAAATACACAAATTAGCTGGGCATAGTGGTGTGTGCCTGTAGTCCCAGCTACTAGGGAGACTGAGGCAGGAGGATCACTTAAACCCAGGAGATGGAGGATGCAGTGAGCTGAGATCATACCACTGCACGCCAGCCTGTGCGACAGAGTGAGAAAAGAAAAAAAAAAATCAGTGAAATCTCCATCTTGTTGAGTCCAGGACATTTTCAGTTTTCATTTTAATTGAACCCATGAAAGAATTTGACATTGTTAGTAATGCCATCCTTCTTTAAACACTGTCCTATTTTTGTTTCACACATTTATAGAATTTCTTCCCATGCATCTTTCCTGCTCCATCCTAATCTGTTTGATGGATCCTCATTCTCCACATACCCTTTAATGCCTGACTCCTTGGCACACAGTCTCTGGATTTATTTTCTTATCTTCAAGATGAATAGCTTGCACACATTAGTGTCTAGAAGCACCACCTGGAAACGTATTCAAATGCATGTTCTTTGGACTTACCCAAGAAACAGGGCATCGGTTTTGACTAAGCCCTAGAAAAAACATTTTTAAATAAACATGTCAAGAAATTCTTTCTACCTGCTGGGCTGATTGAGTCCAGGGCTTCCATTGCTGTCTAATTTTGACAGCTTTCATTTGTATGCCTCCACCCAAAACCTCTTTTCTTGGCTTCAGACCCACACATCCACCACCCGGGCAAATATTCACACTTGGATGTCATCAGAGAACTCAAAGGCAAATAACTCAGAACAGAGATCATTATCTTTCTCCAAAGTTGGTTCTCCAACAGCAGTCTCTATGGGAAACAAATGGAAACTTTTTATCTACTGGGCACTGAGAATAATGTGGGAACTATCCTTTATTTTTCTCTCTCCCTCTTTTCCTTCCTTGCCAAATGTCTAGTACAATTAATTCCATCTCCCAGATATCTCTTGACCCCATTAATTTATCTCCATGCCCAGCACCCTAACAAAAATCCAGGTGACCATCATCTCTTACCTGAATTATTAAGATAGTCAAAAGTCTCTGCCCCTCTACTCCTGTTGACTGTCATGTATTCTCTACACAACAACCAGAATGATTTTTCTAAAGCAAGATTTTTATCATTTCATCACCCTGATAAGTACTTTGTAATGATTTCCATTGCTTGTAGGGTAAAATCCAAACTTCTTAGTGTGACTTTTCATGATCTCTCTCCTGTCTACATCCTCAGATTCATCTTAAGCCAGTTTCTCTGAATTCTGAGACTTTGCACAGGTGACTCCCACTGACGGTAACATTCTCCCCTTCCTCCTCAGACTCTGGTCTCAGCTTAAAACCCTCTATTTTGGGGCCACCTCTCCTAAGCCTTGTATGCTTCAGGTCCCTTGTTGTGTACCTCTAGATCCGCCTCACATAACACTGGGCATATTTTATTTAGTATTTGTACGATCTGCTTTTGCCACTCCAGAATAAGCTCTGTGAAGATACAGATGGCATCTACCTTCTTCTGTATCTCCAGCACCTGGGATGATGCCTGTATATTTCATGTTTCCAAGATACCCATGTGAGTGAATGATTCATAAATTATCCCAAGATTCCCGGTCTTTCCTTTTCCCTACAGTTGCCTCTGGCCAATCCAGTAACAATATCTGATATTAACCTTTCTGTTAAATTATTTTTAACATAGACCCTAAAATATGCCATTGAGCATCCCAGATTTAACTGATTGAATGTACTTGTTCATGTACTCCTTTCTCTTTGCCTGATAACCATATATCTTTTGCACTTAGCATAGATTCTCATAACCTAAGGAAAAAATGCTTCTGCAACCAGGTAATCAAATATAAGTTTACATAGGAAAGCATGTGTCTCTAAGAAAAAATTCTGTCTATGGGATAGATCATATAATTTATATGGTCATCTTATAATCAGGCCCCTATAGGAAAAAGTCAGGAAGGCTGTGACTGAGGAGAGAATTGTGAGAGAAAGGCAGCTTTTGCATCTTCACTAAATTTTATTATGATGTAAAGAAATATAAAAATATACTTATGGCTAGTACATAATATTCATAAATGTACTTACTGTCATATTAAAGGAAATAAGTGATACAAAATTATATGCACTAAGGATAAAAGTATAGCTATTTACATAAATGTAGAAAAAGCTTTTGGCAAAACATGCTGTTATCCGCAACAAAAAAACCCCCACAAAACCTGGAATAGAGAGGAATTATATTAATCTGATAAACGGATTGAAGGATGTGGACTTCCTGATTGGAAGATTCTACAACAGGCACAGCACAATTGAGAACAATAGAGCACAGCGATTTCAGAACACTGGAGACAGTCAGAGATCTGTGAACTTCCAAAGACTAAGAACATGCTAAGTTCTGATGAGCCCATCTACCCTTCCCCACCAGGACAATTCAGTGCCCTGATGCCTTTCCCCAAATTTCTCTTTGCCTCAGCATATTCCTGTCGTGCCCAAAGCTCCTCTGGTCCTCAAATACCCCTACCCATAGGATCTCAGATGTTACACACGATGTGTGATCAAAGGGAAAAAGATTGGCTTCTGTAAAAAGAGGCAGATACATCAACCCCACTCCTACCCCCATCCCCACTCCTGCTAATAAATTCTTCTTTGCCAAGCTTCCTGAACAAGTTTCACATAAGCTAAGAAAAAAGAAAAAAGAAAAAAAAAGCCCTTCAAGTCATTACCGTGTCTGTCCCAATTTTTTCTTCTCACCTGCCAGTGATCAGGGCATAGAAAAGTTGAATTTTAAAATTCCGAGTCTTTATTTCTATTACCAAACAACAACAACAAGAATTACATCATCTTCGGTCTTCTCAATAGCAACATCAGAACGTCAAAAACAATGGAGCAATGTCTTCTAAGTTGTTAAGGAAATTGATTTTATGTTAAAGTTTAATATGAAGCAGATAAGAATAGGATAGAATAGGTATTTTCCACATATGTAAGGTCTCGAAAATTACTTACCATGCACCCCCTTTCAGGAGGTTGTTGGATAAAGTGCTCTACCAAAATGAGGACATAAACGCAGCAGGAGACATTCATGGAAATTGTTAAAAAGTGGAGCTTACACAGGAGAAGGGCAAAGGGAGTCCCCATAGGATGGTGAAAAAGGTCCCCAAAATGGCAAGTGTGTCCAACAGGCATGTGTCAGAAGACTGCAAAACTGGATCTTTCAGGAAGGCCACGTGAATGAAATAACTAATTTTACTAAACAGAAAAAAAAAGAGAGTTTGACAAATGGCAGAGAGTTTGGAGTTAATAATCAATGTATAGAAAACCATGCACACATACCTGCACACAAAAGACATAATTATTAACTCAAGACAAAACAGTAAGTATTCAGGAAAATGAAGTGTGTACAGGAAACTACACAAGGCTCGGCTTGAATAAGATTTGCATAGTGCTACACAATGAGCTTGAATATGCAGACAGAGAGCTGGAACTTTTGTGGCAGTAGAACTCCCTCACAAAGCTCAGGCTCTGCAACAACCAGCACTGGAAAGCCCAATCGCAGCCTCCACAGCCATTTGCCCAGAATGGTCAGAACTTGGTGAGTGACTTCCAGTTTCCCTCCAATTCAAGACCAACTAGAGAAAGCCAAAGCTGCTCCCAAGCCCATTACATGAGATGCCTTCTTCTAGTTAATTCACCTAAAGCTTCCCTGGGCCAGTAACCTGGGACCTGAGCACACCTGAAGCCTTATTTTTCCCACTCTAAGCTCTCTCACTCCTCCACCTGTGTTCTAGTCTCTGCCAAATGCAAGGGATGGTCCCTGACGCCCTAGCCACAGCAAGCGCTGAGTAAATAGCTTGTGTTGGTTCCCATTTTGGCCACAGAAAGCTCTGAGTGAATAGCTTGTGTTGGTTCTCATTTTGGTGGTCTTCATTTATTTCCACAACAGAATATTGATTTAGCCACAACATATTACTACAGTGGGGGAATGGAGGTTGGAAAGGATGGATACCGGAAGACGGCAGGCATATGTGAGAGATTAATACGTGTCTTCTAGAGGGGGAAAGCATAAACAATGACTAACACTGAAAAAAATATTCAAGTGCCACTGTAAGTATGTTACAGAGAGAGTTGGAAGTAAATCCCAAAGGAATCAGCTAGAAATGCTTTCCATTAGGAGAGAAAGAGGAGGACTGTAAAGGGATGGCTGACTGACAAGCCTTTTAGAATTATCTGGTCCTATGTGAAAATATGGCTTAGGTAAAACTAAAAGAAAGCAAACCATGTGTATTTAGAAATCTCCAGATTAATCCTATTCATGTTAAGTAACACACACAAATTCAAAAACCACCACCACAACAATACATATTGTACAAAGCTACAACTCCTAAACAAGACATATGTCTATGTCTATACGACAGAGAATGAGATGCAAGTAGGAATCTGAAATGAAGAAAGAAAATGAAATAAAACAAATGCAACATCCTGCCTAGGGCAATGGGATGTGCCTTGAAGTGAGAAGCGTGAAAAATCAAATCTCTGCATTGGAGGTTAATAAAAGGGGTGGCGGCAGGATAAAAAAAGACTCTTAGAAAAGAAGAGAAGAGAAAAGAAAGGAAAGAAAAGAAAAAAAAGAAAAGAAAAATTAAAAACATCTTTGCCGAAAACTCTTCAACCCTCTGGAGAGTGACTGTGAATCTCTTAGCAAATCTTGTTCTGACATAGGAATGAAAACACTTGTAGTATTAACCCTGACCGTAACCCTAACCCTACCTGAACCCTAACCCTAGCCCTAACCCCAGCCCTAACCCTAAACCTAATAATTAATCTAGTGTTCAAACCTCATCCTACCACCTACTTTCTATGTGATCTTGGGCACATTTCTGAGGCTGTTTCCTCATCTGCAAAGAGGAATAATAATACCCACCACTCAGGATTGTGTTGAGAATTAAACGAAATAATATGTAAAAATTTCTAACACAGGATTTGCCAAATAACAAATCTTAGTAAATGTCTGAAATTATAATTATCAGATGCTTTAGGATTATTTGTATTTTCATTGGGACTTCCAAAATAAAGTCTAAGTCTTATGAGAAAAACAGATGTGTTAATCTCCTTTCTCCCTCTCATTCTGTAGCTCTCAGAAAAGACATTTGCATATTTAACTGTCATTGAGTGAGAAGAACTCATTTTGGTAAGAATTACAAAGACTGCTGAAGAAAGAGAAGAGACCCCATGAGTCCAGAAAGAGAAGAGACCCCATGAGTCCAGACTATGGGAATTGGTGATGTGGGGTTTTTAGCCTGTAGATAAAATACTTGGACTGAGGTGACTATTATAATATTCTTAGATAAAATTTTGGAAAGTCAAATGTCACCAGGGCCACTGTTCTGGAAATTAGCAGCTCTCTCACTCAATATTTTTAAATAAAGTCTCACTTTAATAGAGACATAGGTACAATACATATTTCTCTTTATTTTTTCTATGGAGGAAACCACAGTCAAACTGTGAGGATTAATGGCATCAGACATGAGTTCCCAGTGAGGGGGAGAAACAGTGCATGTCAGTAATTTGTCTACTGAGGACAGAGCAGCTCGTGTCTGTTGAAAGGAGGAGGCTGAGCTCAGCTCCCTCCAAAGGCGCCCCATATGTAGAGGGCAGACACAAGTGTGGCAAGCCTTAGATCATAAAAGAAACTCTATGAATGCAGATTGCTGTATTAAATATCCTTATTTTTAAATATTGGCTTACATATTACAAAAATCCTAGGTCGGCCATACAAAATGCATTACACATCTGCAGACCAAATATAGTCCAACAGTTTGATAAATTTTTATCATTTTTCTAAATTCACAGGACAGGGATTATTTTGTGTATTTTTGATAGAGATTGGAAGACTGAAGCCCAAAGGTGGAGAAAAGTCTTCTCAAGGTCAATTGTGAACAACAGTCCAGGCATGAACAGAAGCCCACTGTATGAGTCTGTTCTCACACTGCTTATAAAGACATGTCCCAGACTGGGTAATTTATAAAGCAAAGAGGTTTAATGGACTCACAGTTCCACATGGCTGGGGAGGCCTCACAATCATGGCAGAAGGTGAAGGAGGAGCAAAGTCACATTTTACATGGTAGTAGGCAAGAGAGCATGTGCAGGGGGACTCCCCTCTATAAAACCATCAGATCTCGTGAGACGTATTCACTACCACAAGAACGGCACCAGAAAGAACCACTTCCATGACTCAATTACCTCCCACTGAGAGGTGACAACATGCTGGCAGCCCTCGCTCTCTCTCAGCGCCTCCCTGGCCTCGGCGTCTGCTCTGGCTATGCTTGAGGAGCCCTTCAGTCTGCCGCTGCACTGTGGGAGACCCTCTCTGGGCTGGCCAAGGCTGGAGTCAGCTCCCTCTGCTTGCAGGAAGGCGTGGAGGGATAGGCACGGGTGGGAACCGGGCTGCATGCGGTGCTCGTGGGACAGCTCAAGTTCCGGGTGGGCATGAGCTCCTGCACTTGGAGCAGCCGGCCCCAGGCAGTGAGGGGCTTAGCACGCCGGCCAGCAGCTGCGGAGGATGCACCAGGTCCCCCAGCAGTGCCAACCCGCCCGAGCCATGCTCGAATTCTCACTGGGCCTCAGCCACCTCCCTGTGGGGCAGGGCTCGAGACCTGCAGCCTGCCATGCCCCACCCACCCCCTGCCCCACAGTGGGCTCCTGCACGGCCTGAGCCTTCCCGAAGGGAGCCGCCCCTGCTCCCCGGCACCTGCTCCCATCATCCACCCAAGGGCTGAGGAGTGCAAGTAGGCAGCGTGGGACTGGTAGGCAGCTCCGCCCACGGCCCTGGCACGTGATCCACTAGGCGAAGCCAGCTGGGCTCCTGAGTTGGGTGGGGACTTGGAGAACTTTTACATCTAGCCAGAGGATTTTATATGCACCGGTCAGCGCTCTGTGTCTAGCTTGGGGTTCATGGATGCACCCGTCAGCACTCTGTGTCTAGCTAATCTGGTGGGGACTCGGAGAACCTTTATGTCTAGCTAAAAGATTGTAAATACACCAATCAGCACTCTGTGTCTAGGTCAAGGTTTGTAAATGCACCAATCAGCACCCTGTGTCTAGCTCAAGATTTGTAAACACACCAATCAGTGCTCTGTGTCTAGTTAATCTAGCAGGGACTTGGAGAACTTTTATGTCTAGCTAGAGGATTGTAAATACGCAAATCAGCACTCTGTGTCTAGCTCAGGAATTGTAAAGGCACCAATCAGCACCCTGTCAAAACAGACCAATCAGCTCTCTGTAAAACAGACCAATCAGCTCTCTGTAAAATGGACCAATCAGCTCTCTGTAAAATGGGCCAATCAGCAGGATGTGGGTGGGGGTCAGATAAGGGGATAAAAGCAGGCTGCCCAAGCCAGCTGCTACAACCTGCTCTGGTCCCCTTCCGCACAGTGGAAACTTTATTCTTTTGCTGTTTGCAATAAATCTTGCTGCTGCTCACTCTTCGGGTCCGCACTGCCTTTATGAGCTGTAACACTGACTGCGAAGGTCTGTAGCTTCACTCTTGAGGCCAGCGAGACCATGAACCCCTTTGGAGGAATGAACAACTCCAGACGGGAGTAACCAACAACTCTAGATGCGCCGCCTTAAGAGCTGTGACACTCACTGCGAAGGTCTGCAGCTTCACTCCTGAAGCCAGCGAGACCACGAACCCACCGGAAGGAAGAAACTCTGAACACGTCCAAACATGAGAAGAAACAAACTCTGGACACACCGTCTTTAAGAAACTGTAACACTTAGCGCGAGGGTCCACGGCTTCATTCTTGAAGTCAGTGAGACCAAGAACACACCAATTCTGGACACACCACCAGGTCACTCCCATGACACATGGGAATTAGGGGTACTGCAATTCAAGATGAAATTTGGGGGGGGACACTGCCAAACCATACCACCTGCATTCTCTGACCTCCAGTCCAGAGATCAGGAATAAAAGGAAGACACAGGCCTGGCCTGCATCTGAGGTCAACCCCCAACAGGAGGGAGCCCAGATCTCAACCCTCACCTGGACAGCCTCAAAGTCAGAGTGTGGAAGGGTGTTGTAGGACGTGTGCATTTGGCTAATATGTAACTTGTAAATCATGAAGAGCATACATAAATTGACTTATATTATTAATATATTAGGAAGCGTGAATTATTAAAATATAAATATTTAAAACATACTTTTGTCATATTTTTTGATACCTCATTTTTGACATACTGGGGGGACCTAAAAATGAAAGGGGTCTAGTCTGTCTGCACTTGTAAGAGATCCTGGCTAGATTTGATTGGCTTCTTTTCCCTGATGTGGAAAATGGGGAAGGTATTCTTATATCCAATGAGTATTCTGAAGGGAGGCTATACTACTTATATTTATTAATCCGACCTCCCAATTATCTTACAGCAGAGTTACATTTTACATATTAAAAAATCTAGTAACGTGCTCTTAATTGAAAACAAAATTACTTTCCCTCTGCTAATGTAAACTGATGAATCGTGTACCATTCTCAAGTTGTTTTATATGCGTTAAGGCATTCTGTCGTAAGAGAAAGTCGTAACTCTGTTCTATAGTTTTTAATATAAATAACTTCAGTTGTTTCTAATATTGACATATTGATTTGGTCACCTTCTTTCTTTTCTTATTAAAGACCACAGCAGAAACACATATTATCTCACATCTGAAGAAATTTCAGAAAATATTCATCCTGTAGCTTCAGCCAATTCAAAATTAATTTCCTATATCTTGTCCCACTTTTGTATTCTTATCCACAGATAAACCTGGGGCTCTCAATGGTAACGCAGCATGCTTTGAGGATCAGGATTCAGTCCACGTTGTCATTCTCAGGGTTTACTGCTGATTTAACTTATTTTTCATTCATAATCCCCTTACAAAGAGAAAATATTCTCTGACTTTTATTTAAGCTACAGTGATTTGACTGTTGCAGTGATCAAACACATATTTTGTTAGCAGATGTGTTTGCCAGTAAAGACATTCTCAGGTTCATGCGTTTGTGTATATTTACTTAAATTACACAAAAGACTTCATAATTACAAGTTAGGAAAACTTTAGGAGATGAGTGTAAATTCTCCCATGTTTCTTATCTGATGAGCATTATTTATTTTAGCAAAATTTATCCGAAAATGTTCAGATAAGCCTTTGTTAGGCAAAGAGACTCGGAGAAGGACTATGATACAGTTAATTGAAACTCTTTTGTTCTAGGAGGACGCGGCGGCATAGAAAAAGCTGCTATCCAAGGTAGAGAAAAGTAAGGAAATGGATGAGATGCAGCTCAAATGTCCTAGTGGGCCAGGGGTGGGAGCCTTGGGTTTTCCATGGAGTATGAAGGGAATTTGGTGTTTGAAGGCAGTGAATTTTGAATTGGGGTTGAAAGATGTTCATGCCAAGAAGGAGGAAAGCTACTGCTGGTGATGGATACACAACAAACACAGAAGTCGCTTTATAGAATGCACATTTAATGGGGCTATGTCACCTGGGAGGTAAAGAGCATTACACTTTTTAGGTATAAAGCACAAATATACATACAGCAGTAAAAAGATATGCAACATATTTGGGTATTAGAATAGCATGTGGGATGATTGCTTAGGGTAACAATAATGAAAGAAAGCTGAGGAGCACTGCTTCAGAGATGTAAGAGATGTTCCATTTGGAATATTTACATTTTAGAAGACAGAATATGATGGGTAAAGGTGTTCTCTTCAGTGAGGGAGGGAGTAAGCATTTTCTGAACTGACCCCAGTGGCCAAAGATGGCTGCATATGTGATAAATGAAAAGCAAGGGTCTAGTCTTTCCCCAAAACCAGGGGTACTGCCTCATGTTTTACCATTGACTGTCACTTCCTCGGGTTTATAAAACAATAGGTGATGATGGTCCCAGAGTAATTAAGACTTCATGTTGATTTTATGGACCCCTGAACAACCTGAAGAATCACATATGAACATATGCTGCATGGATACATCTCAAAATTGGCGTTAAATGAAACATTCTAGAAACAGGACAAGAGTCCAGGCACCATTATTCATACTAAAAACAAACCCAAAATTTGCAACTTACGATCTATGCATGTTTTGGGACAATTGCCAAACACATTAATATCTCTGGGCAGAAAGGAAACAGAAGTGAAAGGAAGGAAATAAATGAGCAAGAAGCAAAAAGGAGGCACCTCACATAAGCCGACAACAATAGCATATTTGTGAAATACTATAATTGAATCCACTCTGAACCTGCAGTCCAAATTATTTAAAATAGGAAATAGGTGAATGAAAGAAAGTTCATAGATTCTTATCTTGATGGGATCTTAGCACAGATGTCTGATTTGCCAATTAAATGATTCAAATTCAAGATTTTCATTTCTGGACTTGTGGAGTAACTGGGACCTAATATACCCTTTAGTCTTAAGCAATTTTTAAAGAGTAAAATTATTTCAGTTGAGTTTTCAGGCCTTAGACAACAAAAAATGCAACGTTAGGAGTTGAGCACTTGGGCTGAGAGAAAGTTGTAATTGTCCACAAGTTTACCTCTAGTTTAAACAGAAGTTTTCCCACCTGTTAGTGCTTCTTATTGAAATTATTGTGAAATGTACATAAGCACTAGGTTAATTTATTGTGGGAAGGGAGGTACTTCAGAAAGAATATTTGAATTGTGAATTTAAAAAAAGGGTGTAACAAAATCTGTGATTTCTGGGGAACTTTTTAAATTCACTTTTTCTTGAAATGCAAGGTGGTATACATCATCTGTCAGATTCCCTACTACAATGTGAATACAATGTTACATTTGTATTTTGTTTATATTTTTCTTTCTGCCACCTCTCAAACATTCTCTTACCCAGTGAATGGTAAACGGTTACAGATACAATTTTAATTACATATACTTGGGGCTGCTATGGACAGAGTGTCAATTTGATATGCATCATGATTTGCTTAAATTATTGCTCCAGACTGGGTGTCAAAATATGATAATTATTGCTTGACACAAAGCAGACATCACTGTGATTTCTTCCTTCTCTTGCCACTTCACTTCCAAAATCTGTCCCTTTATACTGAATTCTAGAAGATATAAAACAAGTTACCTGAATACCGTTGCAGAGCTTCCAGATATGTTTTTCAGTGCAGTGGTCACCATGATCATTGTTTCGTAGCAAAGCCCTCCTAAAAACCTATCCAGCCATGTGTTCATGCCTGTCCATGAATAGGTGGAAAAATCCAACCTGTTCAACATGGGAAATGGCTCCGAGTTCAACAGGAATGCTGTGGGAGATTTCCCTTGTGATAAAACACAGTGCCAACTTCTTAGTCACATCACTGCAATATGAAACAAGAAATGGTCTAAGGAAGTATCCTTCCAGAGAAAATGGACTTCACCTTCAGGAACTCCACAGGTAAAATCTAAAACCTGCATTAACCACAACCATGGTTTGAAGCTTAAGATGGCCCCAGATAAAAGTGAGTCCAGTGTGAACAGAGTGAATTCTAACTGGGTGACTCTAGTTAGGATCAGGTGGGGATTTTTTTTTTTTGATATACTTGTCAGGTATTGTAGGGGCAGACAGATCCACAATTGGAAGCAGGAGCAAAGTAAGGATATGGAATTCATAAATGTTTTCAGCATTATCTTTGACTCAATTTGAGATGACTGGCTGACAGGCCTTTCCTGATATTGATCTTACAGGTGATTCATAGCAAGAGATGCTGTAACACAAAGCAAATTCACTGTCTCTCTCTGATCAAAGGACATCAGTCACTCAACCTTTCTATGTATTTGTTGCCATACATGATACTTAACCCAATTTCAAAGTCCCACAGATGAAATGCAAACTTTAAAAATAAAATTTATATACAATAATGTGAAACAGCTGTGCCTGGACCACTCTACTTCCTATCATTTTATACTTTTATGTACACACATTCCCACTGTCCTTTGAAAAGAATCCCACCTCCTGTAATTAGAGAGAAATTGTCATCAAGGGCAAGAAGATAGTTTATATTTTGCCAAATCCTGGAAATCAAGCATCTGTTCTACACACAAGTTTAAGTGATCAGCTATCATTCAGATCAAAGAGAAAGCAACCAGAAAAACCTAAATCTAGATCAACTTCAGATTGGTCTGGAGTCTGCCTTCCCATGACATCTGGCGTGCTCTGCTTGTTTGGTATGTATCGACTATGAACATGAAGACTGGGTTGCAATTTTAAAAATGCATATTCAAATGGCAGCCAGGTACTAGAAGCAGACATTCCTACAAATGCATATCTGGATATCTTTGGTACATAGCATAGACATAATGCTTAATGTTCATTGAATTAACTAATTATCCAGATAAAATGATAAATAAATAGGGTGCAGATGAGAAGGCCAATGTACTGAATAACACTGGGGAGTTGGAATCTAGTTCTAAGTCTGTCACTCACTTCCTGACCTTAAATAATATAACTTTCTCCATCACAGCTGTAGAGAAACTCTCTAACTAATGAAGAATTGACTTGTGTGCTGTATGAGGCCCTGGATTTTTGTCATCGTAATTATATTCCAGATCAAAGATAGGCAAGGGTGTCTACGTGCAAGGTTATGACTATGGACTCTAAGTGGAGCAAATGGGCAGGCCAAGGCTCAGTCGTAAATGGTCTGCGGTAGGGGGCATTGCTTTGATTTGGAGGAAGAGGAGGTAAGCAATTGACCAGTTCTGGTTCCAACATGCAATACGTCAAGTCACATTAGTTGCAAATTTAGACGCACTTTTTGAGAGATAACGTTACCTGGAAATGCTTTTCTACCTAATTTATTTTCTTTTTTGGATATTTTACTGCTTTCATTTTCAGTTTTATTTTAGCTTCTAACACATAGAGATTTCATATCTTTCTTAAAGCATTTGCTAGGCATTTATAAAAAAAGATCTCTAATCTAACATGTCTAGGTTATTGCAAATGAAAGTATTTATTGGTCATTTTACTCTTATTGTTTCCTTTTTCTTTTCTGTTTTTATTTTTTCTTTTTTTGAGACAGGGTCTTTCTTGCTCTGTTGTGCAGGCTGGAGTGCGGTGGCACAATCATGGCTCACTGTAACCGTGAACTCGCAAGCTAAAACGATTCTCCCGTCTCAACCTCCATAGTAGCTGGGACTATAGGCATGCTCCACCACACCCAGCTAATTTTTTATTTTTTGCAGAGACTGGGAATCTTGCTATGTTGTCCAGGCTGGTCTCAAACTTCTGACCTCAAGTTATCCTCCCACTTCAGCCTTACAAAGCACAGGTGGGAGTCACTCAGCCAGACCTTTTGTGTTCTTTATACTTTTGTGTCTTTACCTGTTTATTCCAGCTTCCTGGAACCTTCATGTATTTGAGATTGTTACTCTCCCACCATGACTTAATGGCCTCTTTTCACTCCCTTTTCCTTCATAGTTAAAGAGTTTTTGGTGTTCTCTCCTTATTTCTTATTTATCAAACAGCCCTTTCACCTTATTTATCTCAAGAGGAGTTGGTTTTTAGTCCACTGAAAACTCTTCTTTTTCTCCCCCTTTTTTTTCAAACAAACATCTATACAAGCCAGGGTTTCTGATGGGCAGAAGCTGGGCCTACAGAATAGTTCTTCTACTTGTAGACATTCTGGGCTTCTGAGTTACACAGGTGACCTCCCAGGATGAGGTTCTTACTACCTTTGGAAAATTGCATTTTCCAAAATGGCCACTGCAGTTTCTCCCACCCCTCATGCACTTGTTACAATCAGGGGTTTTTAGTTTTGTTTTGCTTTGTTTTCATTTGTTTGTTTTTTGAGATGGAGCCTCACTGTTGCCCAGGCTGGAGTGCAGTGGCATGATTTCGGCTCTCTGCAATCTCTGCCTTCCCGATCCAAGCAATTCTCCTGTCTCAGCCTCCCGAGTACCTGGGACTGCAGTCGTGGACCACCACACCTGGCTAATTTTTGTATTTTTAGTAGAGATGGGGTTTCACTATGTTGGCCAGGCTAGTTTCGAACTCCTGACCTCAAGTGATCCACCTACCTCGACCTCCTAAAGTGATGGGATTACAGGTGTGAGCCACCATGCCCAGCCTACAATCAGGTTTTAATACTCTTCCCATTGAGATGTGGGGTCTGTGCTCCTTCTCCTTGAATCTGGGTTTTATTTTTGGGATTTATAGCAGAAATCTTGCTATGTGAGCTCTTTGACTAGCTCATAATAGGCTCCCTCCTGATTCTTGAAGCATTATCCCTCTGGGAACCAAGGCACCATGCCGTGAGGAAGCTCAAGCGTCCTGTGGAGAGATCCACAGAGGGACACAGTGAGGCCTCGTCAGTGTCACAGCCTTAATTGAGTTTCCGGATGAGAGCCAACCCGTTTGCCAGAGATGTGATGAGCCATGTTAAAAGCAAGCCCTGCAGCTTCTAGTTGAGGCTCCTCAGCTGATGCTGTAAGGAACAGAGATGAATTAACCTTTTCAAGCATTGCACAATTTGCAGAATTTTAAATAAGCTAAATGATTATTTAAAGCCTATATATTTTAAGGTAGTTTGACACATCACAATAGAAAACCTGAGCATCTTTTGGTTTTGCCCCAGGAGTCAATATTTTATAAGATAAAGAAGCAAAGGGGTGAAGAACAGATACATTTTTCTCAGTGAGGCCCCAATAGCCTTGAAAATTCCTTCCAGACTTAGAAGTTAGACATTAGATGGGGACATGGGATATTTTTGTTCATCCCTTTCTTTTCTGTCATGAATATTTTAGAGGAAGTAGAAGTTGTTCACACCAGGGGCAACAGCCAAACAACATGAAAAATCAAATGTTTCTAATGAAAATTGGTGAGAGGCAGCTTGGGGTGGTGACTGAACACAGAAGCTAGGACCAGGTTTTGCAGATTCATATGCTGGCTATGACACATCCTTGTGGTGAGCAGATTTTTTTTTTTTTTTTTTTGAGATAGGGTCTCACTCTGTCACCTAGACTAGAGTGCAGTGGTGTGACCTAGGCTCACTGCAAACTCTGCCTCTGGGTTTAAAGTGATTCTCATGCCTCAGACTCCCGAGTAGCTGGGATTATAGGTGTGCACCACCACGCCTGGCTAATTTTTATATTTTTGTAAAGATGAGGGTTCGTCGTGTTGGCCAGGCTGGTCTTGAACTCCTAGCCTCAAGTGATCCTCACTCCTCAGCCTCCAAAAGTGCTGGGATTACAGGCATGAGCCACCACGCCCAGCCATAGATTAAAAAAAGTGGCAACCAAGGAGATGTGGACATAACTCTCACATTGTGAGACATTAAATAATTTAATGACTGTATTTATATTCTTGTGGGGAAATAAATGCCAAGGTACGGAATTGAAAGCCATGACCTTCTTTATCATTTATAAAGATTGGACTGCAAGAAGAGAGAAGCCTTCCAGAGACTGAGACCAAAACATTCTGGTTCCTAAGACACCAAAATTGCAAGCTTTCTTTTATGCCTGAATTTATCCAAAATTTCTCCAGTTCCCTGAATCATTCTAAGCATTCTTTGTGATCTTCAAGAGAGAAGGGACTTTTTATTCGTTAGGAATATAGCTTTGAAATAATATTTAATATGCACTTAAAAAGAGATCAATATATTTTTTAAAAAGAGATGAAATATACCTTTGAAAACAAGAGGGGGTCTCAGTATTTGTTCAAAAGAACAAAAGAGAGTGTGACTTTGAAATTCTATAAAGGGGTTATGATGTCTGTTTGCTTGAAAAAGAGAAACATTAGGAAATTTTTAATCATTGGGTTTTTAAACAAACCAATGTCAGGAACTTCTTTTGATTCTGAAGACTGCTGTCCACGTCTGTATCCCCAATATTTGGTACAGTGTAGGCATGCATTCAGTGTTTGTTAAATAAATAATGGCTGAAATCATCAAAGGCCAAGCATTCAATATTCACATTAACCTCACAATGTGTGGAAGTACCACTTATTAACAACTATTTACTAGATAACCTAACTATGGCATATGAAGGATAAATAACTTCTCCAAAGACACATAGTAAGAAGGCAGAGCTGGAACTTGAACCCAGGCAGCCTGACTTCAGGGTCTAAGCCCCAAATTCCCAAGAATGAAGTGCCAAGAGGGGATGTAGAGAGTAGGGAAAATAAAGCAGAAAGAAGAAAGGTGAGAAAGAAAAAAAAGAGAGGAACTCTGTTGGCCATTAGAGAATCATTAACAATATTACACAGGACAAATTCAGAATATTTGGGTGAGAAGCATGAGTGTAGCAAAATGAGGACTGAATGAGGAGACAGGATGCTGAGATGAGGTCTGGTCCATTGAGACAGAGAGGAGACAATGACAGACATGCTATAGCAGATAAGGGCAACAGGTGGGACAGCAGAGGCAGGGGATTCCTACCGGAGCTCCCTGTCCCTCTAGGAATTGAGAAGCAGGTGCTTTCCGATAGCACAGAGGGTGGGGATTAGTTGGGCAGTTGGGGAAAAGACCCAGTGAGGAAGATGCCTGGATTCATGTCATAGAAGACTTGAGTGGCCATGAGGTCAGCTCAGGGCTGGAGACCATGAACTGGCAGAGAAACCAAGTCCACTCCCCCTGGGATATTCTTCCAATAGCCTTTGACAACCGAGGTGCAGATATCATCTATGTGGGTGTTGGAATTTGTCAAGAGTTTATAATTGGCTGGGTAGGCACAGTGGGAAGATAAGAGAGCTAGATGTTGATGATCTTTTTACAGGATAATTAAGAGGTGGTCCTGCGAAATCTACACTGGATAGGAAGTTCATCAAAAGGAATCTAATTGACTAAAAGAAACATGAAGGGGTTGAAAGAGAATGGGGCTAAGTGAGGTCTAAGGGCAGGTATTAAGAAGGATGATGCAAGAGAACCTTTGCCTATGGAAGGTGTGACTCAAGATGGGGGGTTCACCCACATTTCAATAGGAGACCTCACAGGTGGTGCAGGGTTCAAGTGCAGACCATGGGAAAAGCCCGCTGAAATGCAGCCCGTATCCTTCTGTAAGCCACTCATGAGCACACCAGGCTGGGACGAGGCTGCTGAATTCAACCCAACATCTTGTATAAAGCAAGGACTTCACTGTCTTCCTCTGACAGTCTTCAGAGGGATTATTAAAATGTGTCAGGGGAGTGCCCATGTAGCCAGTAAAAAAAAAAAAAAAAAAAAAAAAAAAACAGTCATTCCAGGATTACTTAGGAATTATCCAATCTGAATTATGTTGTTTCTTCAGGAATGAATCTCTCGTGAAATATATTCTCCCTACATGTTTATATACTTTAAATATTTCATATAAGCTGCTATATAAACTGTGATTTTGCTACTCTGAGCCTGTGTTAAATTGCTGTAAATTAAGAATCATAATAATGCCCATATCAAAGAAACACAATAAGGATGAATTTAGACCATATGCAATGCCCCCTCTCTCTTTCATTTAGATCCCAAGTTCTGATGTCAGGAAAAATCAGCTGAAAAATCACTGGTATTTTTGCTTTCTTGGCTAAATAAATTGGCACCATAATGGAGCAATATCATTAACTAAGTTTACAATCTATTCAGCAAACCAGCTGTGAAATAATGTGATTCTTGATGCTTTATTACTAACTTGGGTGGTATCTATTATTTCCAAGTATTCAAATCAAGTAATATTGCATTAGCATTTCATGTCACATAATGGTTAAACTGGCATGTCTTCAATTTGAATGAAATATAACTTCAATCTGTATTTACAGAAACAGAAAAAAATCTCTGCTCACTTACTGATTTACATGAGACCTTCTCTTTTGGAAAAGTTACTCTTGCTGGGAAAAGTCTTTGCAAAGGTGCTTGGGTTGGGAATATCTCTGACTAATAGGCAACACTGCTTCAGAAAGGGAGAGATGAGGGTCCATGGCAAGGTAACAGCTAGGAACCCGGCTCTCCTGGGATCAAGGGGAGTGGAGGTCACAGAGTGGTGAGAGAGGAGGATGGAGAGAGATGGGGATGGGGAGCAGTGAGATGAGGCAGCTGGAACCCTTTCCTGAGCCCGTGGATGTCCTCAGTAAAGTGAATAAATGGGGTTTGTGAACCTGGACATGCTGATGTTTGGAGCTGACAATCATTTGTCATGGGAGGCCTCAATTTAAATTTATATAAATATTTTAGGGAAGGAGAGGTCTTACTGAAAATGGTTGGGTGTTGTTAACCCTGCTTCCAACTTGAGCATGGGCTCTGTGGGAGGTGAGCCTTGGGTCACTTTCTCATTATGCATTTATGTAGAGATACTCTACTACTTTTGTAATTATAAAAAGAAAAAAATGCAGCAAACCTTAAAAGTACAATTATAATTGAAAACACACAAAAAAGTCTAAGTGTTTCAGGATGAGGGCCTGTTGGGGGCCTGAAGTGGCATCACTGTCTTAGAAGCAGGATCACCCTGCAGGTGCAGATGCTGCAGGACATTTTAAAACACGTTTAGACCCTGCCACAGATTTGCTATCACTTGTCTCTGCATAGCTGAATGGAAGCTGCTGGGCCAGGCATGGAGTAGAATCCCAGCACTTTGCGTGGCCGAGGCAGGAGGATTTCTTGAGCTCAGGAGTTCAAGACCAGCCTGGGCACAATAGTAAGACCTTGTTTCTGAAGAAAGTTAAAAAGGAAACTGCTCAATATAATGAGGTGCATGAGGCCTCTGGTCCACATGCACCAAGAAGGTGTTACCTTTTCTCATCACCTTGAAGCATCCAGCTGTTGAATGGGGCAAGGTTGAATCCCATTAGTTTGCAAGTTTATTTAGGGGTGGGCAATAGACTAAATGAAGCTGCATTTAATAAGGAAGATGACCCATTTCTCATATCCACAGAAGCTATGCACACTCCTTTTATTAGGCTACATATGTCAAATACAGGCTCAGCTTACGTTAGCTTCTATCCAGCCAAATTATAGGGGTTTCCTGCCTGTATGTGATTGCCAAATATTGCAGTTTTCTCCCCAGACCCATAAAAAACTGTCTCTGAGACCAAAAGGATGAAAACAAATTGTTTTACCTTTAACTCAAAAATGCAAAGAGGGCTGCTCTGACTCACTCCTACCTCCATATGTGCAGCTCAAAGCCACATTTGTGGAGGAGTCAAAAAACATTTACCAAACTCCTGAATCTTTCTTTAAGGGACCACTTATTTACATTGTTTTTGCCATTAAAAAATTGCATATATTTAAGATGTATAATATAATGTTTTGATATCCTTATCTTAATATACATATATAGTGATATAGTGAAGTGATCACTATAGTTAATGACAACAACAGCAACAAAAGAAGGAGATCCTGCCTTTCACAATAGTAAACTGGATGAGCCTAGGGGTCATTGTGTTAAGTAAAATAAACCAGACACAGAAAAAAAACAAAACAAAAAACAAAAACCACTGCATGATCACACTTATATGTGGAATCTTAAAAAAAAAAAAGAATACATACAATGGAGACTAAATATTTACCAACGGCAGGGGGTGAAGGCAGGAAAGGGGAAGATGGAAATCAGAGTGGGCGCAGCTGCATTCACGGGGCATAAGAAAGTCTAGAGACCTGCTCTGCAACATGAGGACTATAGTTGTAAATATTCTATTACAGACTAGTAAGTTGCAAAAAGAGTAGATTTTAGGTAGTCTTCCTATACACATACACAAAATAGATAATTTGCCTTTAAATCGGTGTATTAGTCCATTTTCACATTGCTATACAAAATACCTGAGACTGGGTAATTTAAAAAGAAAGAAGTTTAATTGGCTTACATTTCCGCATGGCTGGGGATGCCTCAGCAAAGTAACAATCATGGCGGAAGGGGCAGCAAAGCATATCATACATGACAGCAGGAGAGAGAGACAGAGAAATGGGACGTGCCATTTTTAAACTATCAGATCTCTTGAAAACTCACTATCAGGGGAACATCATGGGAGAAACCGCCCCATGATCCCATCACCTCCCACCAGGGTTCCTCCTCAGCACATGGGGTTTATAATTCGAAATGAGATTTGGGTGGGAACACAGAGCCAAACCATATCAGTCAGACTCCAGAGTTAACCAGGGAGCACAGCAGGATGAGTTCAATGTTCCTTATTACCTGAGACATTTTGTACTTTGAAAAATCATTTTTAAAAGATTTCCCTTGGTATATATACAATGTTAATTCTTGCTCGCACATCTCACACATAAACGAGATCAAAATGAAACTTTCCCTCTATTAAAAAAATAGATTTAGGAAACAGCTTCCAAACAGGAGGAAAAGGCTGTCAGCTACATTGTTTCCTTTTCAAAAGATACATCAAGAAAAGAACCAGCTTTATTAAATGGTTCCACCAGTTTTGAAGGGAGCCATTGGACTTCTTTCACAAATTTCATCCCAGCCATCTGAGAGAGAGGACAGTTTTACAAAACTGTGCCATAATGCAAATATTTTAATTGTGTCTCAAAAAATGAGAAGCATTGAATCTATTATACTATGTAGATAATAAACATACAAAACAAATCAATTCAGACGTAGAGACTTCCCTGTGAACTTTAAGGCTGCTCTGGGAAAGGAGGTTGAGGGTGTAAGAGGCCTTAGGACCTAAAAGGGTATGGAAGAGCACAATATTTGGTTTAATTTAAAGAAATAGCAAAGTTGAGAATGCCTGCCCTGAACAACTTGATTTGTTTGTTCACTACGAAATGAAAGTTTCAGAAGAGTGTGGAGACAGAATCTGGTCTAATAACTTTACTTGCCACTAATTTGATATCTCATGACACGGACTGTCAACTTTTCCATGGAAGTAGAAAATTCTGGTATTCTGGATGGTCTTGGAATTCTAAACTGGCTTTGTTCATACTGGGCATGGCAGGCGGAAGGGGCATTGTAACCAATCACAAACTTTCTTTTGCATCATTGGAGACACAAAAGGACATGTCCTTCCCTGATTTATTCAGGGTTGCTTTCTACCAAAGGAGCTTGCATGTTAATCTGTTGAACATTTGTATATCTTCTTTTGAAAAATGTCTGTTTAGGTCCCTTACCTATTTTTTTAAAATCAGGTTATTTGTTTCTCACTATTGAGTTGTTTCAGATCCCTATGTATTTTGGATATTTTGAGTTTGTTTTTGTATATGATGTGAGGTAAGAATCTAATTTCATTCCTCTGCATGTGACTGTCTAGTTTTCCTCAGTGCCATGTGTTGAAAAGATTGTTCTTTCCCCACAGTGTGTTCTTGGCACCTCTGTGAAAAACCACTTGGCTGTAAATGTGTGGGTTTACTTCTGGGCTTTCTATTCAGTTCCATTGGTTAATGTGTCTGTTTTTATGCCAGTACCATGTTATTTTGTTTACAATAGCTTTGTGATATATTTTGAAGTTAAGCAGTGTGATACCTGCAGTTTTATTATTTTTGCTCAAGATTGTGGGGTCTTCTGTGTTTCCATATGAATTTTCAATTTTTTTTTCTATTTCTGTAATTTATTTGTAAGTGTAGGGGCCTTTTCTTTGTAATGTCTTTCTTTATTTGAGCAGGTGAATTTCAGAGAATGTAGCACCTGCTGATATTAAGGAAGTGCTCACTCGGAAGCAGAGAACACAGAAGTCTGCCTGTCCCTCTGATACCGTTGAGAAGGACCAGTCTGTCTTTAGGGGACTCAGGTGCCTATTCTAATGAAAACAGAAAATTCGAGAACTGGGGTAGAATGAAGTCCTGTGTGACCCTGCAGAGGCAGTTGGACAGGGCTTCAGCACAGGTCTGTGCTTTGTTCATGAGTCATAGAAGTGGCATCTCAGATCAGCCTGTTTACAGGGCAACTGCAAAGCACTTTACTCCTGGACTGTTTCTGATCTCATTCAGGGGAATGGTACCGACCATGATTTCCTACTCTTTATTGTTGCATGTAAACACATGAATCAGTGTCAGTTTTGTACACTCTTAATAACCTGATGAAACTATTGAAAAAATATTTGGAGCAAGGAACATATGTCAACAATGAAGAAAATAGTGTTATTTCACTGGTTACATATTAATGGACAGAAAGAAATAAAGTAGATTATGATATTTCCCTCTATGAGCTAGGAATCTCCTGCTTATATGATGAATAAACAGCAAGGTTTCCTTCACTTGTCTAGCAAAAAAACAAATTGGATAATGTCATTTTTTGGCTCAATATTAAAACTAAACATTGGATGTGATTCCAAGTGGTTTCCTGTCCTGCTTAGAATAAAGTCCAAAATCCATATTAGGATCTTCAAGGTCCTACATTGCTTCTGGATGTCTTGACCATGTTGTTCGCAGATACTATTCATTGGATTCTTGCCATATTGTCCTCTTTGCTTTGCCTCAAATACCCCCAACTACACACCTGCTCTTCTTTCTTCCTGGAAGTCAATTCGCCAGATATTTTCCTCACGTTGTTCAGTCTCTGTTCAAATTCCACCCTTTCAGAGAGGACATCTTGAACTTCATGTATGAAACAATACTATTAGTCATCCTTTAACCCCTTGGTCTACGTTAAATTGTTATCTTCCACTATTACTTGATGTTATATGGCATCTGTTTTTTTATTTTGTTTATTTTCAACTCCCTATACCAATGGCTTCCAAACGTTTTTGTTCACGACTCAGCATTGTGGTAAGAGTTCCTGTGAAAACAGTAAGGGAACTAATAAGTTAGACTAACGGATTAATTAGTATGGGAAGGATGTAACCAGCATTTTCGGGGTATGGGCTCGATGGCTTATGGGAAGGATGTAACCAACATTTTCGGGGTATGGGCTCGATGGCTTATGGGAAGGATGTAACCAGCATTTTCGGGGTATGGACTCGATGGCTTATGGGAAGGATGTAACCAGCATTTTCGGGGTATGGGCTCGATGGCTTATGGGAAGGATGTAACCAACATTTTCGGGGTATGGGCTCGATGGCTTATGGGAAGGATGTAACCAACATTTTCGGGGTATGGGCTCGATGGCTTATGGGAAGGATGTAACCAGCATTTTCGGGGTATGGGCTCGATGGCTTATGGGAAGGATGTAACCAGCATTTTCGGGGTATGGGCTCGATGGCTTATGGGAAGGATGTAACCAGCATTTTCGGGGTATGGGCTCGATGGCTTATGGGAAGGATGTAACCAGCATTTTCGGGGTATGGGCTCGATGGCTTATGGGAAGGATGTAACCAGCATTTTCGGGGTATGGGCTCGATGGCTTATGGGAAGGATGTAACCAGCATTTTCGGGGTATGGGCTCGATGGCTTATGGGAAGGATGTAACCAGCATTTTCGGGGTATGGGCTCGATGGCTTATGGGAAGGATGTAACCAGCATTTTCGGGGTATGGGCTCGATGGCTTATGGGAAGGATGTAACCAGCATTTTCGGGGTATGGGCTCGATGGCTTATGGGAAGGATGTAACCAGCATTTTCGGGGTATGGGCTCGATGGCTTATGGGAAGGATGTAACCAGCATTTTCGGGGTATGGGCTCGATGGCTTATGGGAAGGATGTAACCAGCATTTTCGGGGTATGGGCTCGATGGCTTATGGGAAGGATGTAACCAGCATTTTCGGGGTATGGGCTCGATGGCTTATGGGAAGGATGTAACCAGCATTTTCGGGGTATGGGCTTGATGGCTTATGGGAAGGATGTAACCAGCATTTTCGGGGTATGGGCTCGATGGCTTATGGGAAGGATATAACCAACATTTTCGGGGTATGGGCTCGATAGCTTATTTAGCCGACCTTATTTTAGGACGTGGTGTAATAGGTAGCAAACAACAACAAACAAACAAATGAACAAACGAAAATGAAAAACAATCTCATGACTCTATATGCACACAAATGTTCCATTCATCAATATTCACCTCTACCATATGCAGTCTGACTCGGAAATAGTGTATCATAGTTCCTTTTTAAAAAAATGTTGTATTCGCCACTTCACTCCGGTGAGATTCTGTCTCAAAAAAAAATATCTCCAGCCACTGAATTAATTTTACGGTCAATGGACTTCAAACTGCAGATGGGAAGGTCTTGCGTTAGACTATAAAGTCTGTCCAAGGCAGGTCTCAGTGAGTTTTGTACACTGCTGCAAAACAGGTTGCGACTGTTTTGATACCCCATGGAAGGGGATGAAAACAATTTGTGTTGAATGAATGAATACATTTAAAAAGGGTTCCTCTTATGTCCCTAGTACTGAACTAGGCACTGGGAATATTATGATGAAGACTACAGATATGTTCCAATTTGTTAAGTGCAGATCAGGAGGAAGATTAAAAAGTAAACACATGCAACCATTTTGTATATTTAGTCAACAAATACAAGGCTGCAAGAGCCTGCTAGTTGCTGGAGGTATGGGATACAAAGATGGATAAGCCTTACTTGATGAACAGTGCAAACTGCTGTCAGAGTGGCCTGCAACAGTTTCAGAATAACTAGTTATTTTGTCAAGTATCATAAATGAGAATCTACCATGGCCCACTGTCATCTGTGGTTGGGTTCATAACCCTATGGAACACATGCCATAATTTAAGCAATTCTGCCATACTGAGGATATTGAACAATGTTACTGAAAAAAAAAATCTGTGATTCTTTGTTTACAAAATGAAAATGCAGACCAGAGAGCTTTCTCTGGGCCCTTTCATATCTCTTTGTGCCAATCGAAAGTCCCACAAAAACATATTGATGTCTGCTTTTATAGAAGAATAAAAATTATTTTAGTGTGCCTGCTGCAATTTAATAATGATCAGACTAATTGGAGAGTCTGTTTGTGACAGTTTATTTCTCCATAACTATGACAGTGTTTTTGCATACTTTCCACTGACCTTTTCCAAATTTGCGGAGCTAGAATCAACAGAAAAACATCAATAGCTGAGAAATTACATAATGCAGAAAGTCCATTTTATTAATTCCTTATTTCGAATAAAGATACAATCCAAGTGCACAGGCAGGAAACATTAAAAGGGAACGTAATTCCATAAGCACTCATTAAGCTACCACTGCATTCCCAATACAGCCCTAGATATTCAGAGGCTTCAGTGATAAAATGTTTGTGTATTTGGTTGTTTGCTTGATTGGTTTGTTGTTGCTATAGGGTCTTGCTCTGTCACTCAGGCTAGGAGTGCAGTGGCTTGATCTGGGCTCACTGTAGCCTCTACCTCTTGGGCTCAAGTGATCCTCCCACCTCAGCCTCCTGAGTAGCTGGGACTACAGGCGTGAACCATCATGCCTGGTTAATATTTTTTTTTTTTTTTTTGTAGATATGGGGTTTCACCATGTTGGCCAGGCTGGTCTCAAATTCCTGGGCCCAAGGGATCTGCCTGCCTTGGCCTCCCAAAGTGCTGGGACTACAGGTGTGAGCCACCATGTCCGGTCTACTTATTTTTATTTATTTTTCCCCTCTGTGAAAAGATGCTTTACTGCAACCAAAAAAAAATTGAAAAGTAATCTAGTGCAGTGTATTTTGTAAACTCTTGATGCACTGGAAGTTGGGAGGTGGGAAGCAGTCTGAGGAGCATGGTGTGATGGGAGGCAGTATGAGGTAGAGACAGAGGGCAACAGTGTAGAGTAAGCAGAGGATCCTGAGTGCAACCTCAGGTCTACCACTATTAATTGTGTCATACTCATGGAATGTCTTAACCTCCCTAGTCCAAGTTCCCTAGTCTGATCATTGGAAATGGTAACAGTATAAGCTACAGGTTACTCATTCATTTTGTATATTTTCACTGAACTTTCATGGGGTAAGCAAGAGTTGCTGGTTTTGTTGCTTATTCTTCACTTTACTTCTGGTAACTGCATCCCACTTGCCCATAAGCACGCCTGCTTTTCCCCCAATCTCAGCCCTTGTTATTCGAGTAAAACTGACTCCATCTCTAAGTCGGTGCAGTGTGGGTCACATGGTCCAGGCCTGATCCAATTGAGACAGAACAATTCTCTGGCCAATGAGTGAATGGTTCTGAGAGGGACACAAGATTCAGCCAGAGACGCAATCATAATTTTGCTGAAAATTTTGGAAGAGTTTTACTTTGTTCTCACTGGTTCTAAATGTGAAGAGGATGTAAGTGCTTTTCAAAGTGCAAATATGATCCCATTGTCCCCTTGCATCAACCCCTTCGATGTCTTCCCACATTTTTCAAGACATCAAGCGGTGCAATGACACCAAATGCTCTGGTGCTGCCATGCTTACCTGGATCCTCCTTTCCCTTTTGCAGAAGTGGTCCAGGTTCATGGGTCCTAAAGCACATACAGTATCAGGGCTTCTTTAAGGAAAAGGGTTCAAGGTTACACATTCAGAAAAGAGTCCCAAGTGTTTGCCAAGGGATTAAAAATAGATTTTTAAGATGTGGGGTGTGTGTGTGTGTGTGTGTGTGTGTGTGTGTGTATGTATCTATATATGTACATATCTTATATATATTATATATAATATTCCACACACAATGGAATATTATTCAGTCCTAAAAAGGAAAGAGATTCTGACATGTGCTACAACATGGGTGAACTTTGAGGATATTATAGTAAGTAAAATAAACCATACACACAAAGACGAATATTAGATGATTTCACTAATATGAGGTAGCTAGGATGGGCAAATTCATAGAGACAGAAGTAGAATGGTGGTTGCCACATGCTGGGGGAGGTCAAATGGAGAGTTATTGTTTAATGGGGACAGAATTTGTTTTGCAAGTTCAAAAAGATCTGGAGGTGCATGGTGGTAATGGCTGCATAGCAATGAAAATCTATTTAATGTCACAGAACTACACACTTAAAAATGGTGAAGATGTTAAATTTTTATGTTGCATGTATTTTGCCACAAATAAAATTAATAATAAAAAAGCATATTGTGTTGATCATCCACCAAGATAGTCTCAAAAGATTCTAAGCAAGGGGTTGGGGGCATTTTATCAGCTTCGAGATGATTCCACCCTTGAACTTTTGTGCATGAATGTCTGCTTTGAGATGGGGTCTCGCTCTGTGGCCCAGGCTGGAGTGCAGTGGTGTGATCATGGCTCACTGAAGCCTCAGCATCCTGGACTCAAGTGAGCCTCCCACCTCACCCTCTCGAGTAGTTGAGATTATAGGCATGCACCTCCACACCTGGCTATTTTACATTTTCTATAGAGACAGGGTCTCATTAGCAAGTGAGACCCTGTCTCAGCCTCCCAAAGTGCTAGAATTATAAGCGTGAGCCACCACACCCAGGTGCACAGACTTATTTTTACTCCTCACACAAATTAAGCTCCCTCAACAAGATGGAAAATATTAAAGGAAAGTTAGGAGACACAAATGATAAATGAAGTTTAATGTAGCCAATTCGAGTCCCAAAGGAGAGAATATATATGTAGAAAGAGAGGCAGCATTTGATGAGATGATGGGAGATAAATTTTCGAGGACTAATGAGAGACCCAAATCCAAAGATTCAGGAAGAACACAATATATACCAACTAGGATAAATAACTTTAAAAATTGCAAACTCCCATAATCTAGTGAACCTGTAGAACATTAAACACAGAGAGAAAGGCAGATTATCTATGGAAGAATCACAGCTGGACTAAAAGCAGATTTCTCGACAGCAACATTTGGAAGCCAGAAAACAGGGGAAGACATCTTCTAATTTCTCAGAGAAAATAGCTGTCAGCCGAAAATGTGTAATCTTTTAAGAGCAAGGGCAAAATAAAGACTTTATTTTAAATTAAAACAAACAAAAGAAAAAAGCAAATTAGGCTGTCTCTCTCCAGCATGCCTTGGAGCATGCTGACCCTTGTCTTGCAAGTTCTTCCATCTCCCATTCAAACGGTTGGCCGCCCCTACCCTCTCAGAGCTCAGCTCATGCCTCATGTCCTCTGCGAAGGCTTCGTTCATCTCCCCTGCTGGATGAAGCCCACCTATCAGAGGCTCTCAAGGACCTGTGCCTGTTTCTCCTTTGTCCTGCCTTGGTTGTTGATTAGCTGCCTCCTGTTTCTGCTCCTGAACTGTGAAGGCCATCAGGTGGTGCCACTCTGTGTTTTTGCCCAGCTCTTTATTTACGGTGCTCAGCGCAGTACATGTCACTTAGGATGTTCTGAATAGATATTACCTGAGTAGAAGGAAGGAAGCAGAAAAGGGAGGTGGGCGGGAGGAGTAAGCACTTGTGGTTACAAAAGGAAGGTGGAAGACGTTAAAAGCCCTGGGAGCATTCTGACTCAATGTGAGAAGCATAATCAGATCTAAAACAAGATAATGGCAAGAGGCAGAAGCTCTTGAGACTATGGGCCTTCTCCTGTAATTTTACACAAAGTCGCTAGTCCCCAGGGAGTGGAGTTTGTGTTTAAAGATCGTTTTCATTTCTGGATGCTCATGTGTTGTTGCAGGCGTGATTTTGTGAAGAACGTACTTGAGAAGTTTCAGCACTCCTTTATTAGTCAGTGCTAACTTAACCTCCTGGAGAGTACTTACAGAAATGACTGCAAGTACAGTAACAGGGAACAAAAAGCCAGAAACTAAATAAATGTACTTGGATGTACATCAGAAAACTCTAGTGTAGAAACCACACATTGCTCATGTTGGTTATTTATAGTCTTAACTTTGATTTCTGCAAAGTGGATATGATACATCTTCTCCACTACTTCAAGCACAGTCCAGCTCCTGTGACTTTCTTATCCATCCATGGTTTTACTCTCACCTCAGTCTATTAGCATTTATTTTTATTGTCATCTGACAATAAAAATAACATTTATTTGAACAAGACAGAATTCTGAAGTTTGTTGCATCAAAGGGCAAATCGACTTCCAATTTTGAATTACTATATGCCTGTGGAAAATGAAGAGCTCAATGTAAGAATATGATGTAATTGTTAAATATTTATTCTCTGGTCATGGTCAAATTGCATTATAATTTTTGGAGCAACATAAAATGAGGAGCAATGTAAATAAACTCACTAACAAATGTCACACAAAAAAGGAATTGAGGTTGTAATTATTTTTAGCAACCTCTTGGAAACCATTAAGCTGTGGTTTTGAGATGGAGATCCAGACATTGTGCAGTTCCTTCATCCATAAGCCTGTTGGACAGATCCCACCTGAAATACACTGAAGTAGAAGGGATATTGATTTCCACGAGTTCTGGGAAGGTGGTAAAGTCTAAGAGATATTGGATGTAGGGCTGGATTATGCAAGCTGTACAGCTCTGGATTCAGATCTTCACCTTAAGTCTTACCAGCTGGGAGGCCCTGGGTAAGCTAACATCATGGATCCTCCGTTTCCTCATCTCTAAGCTCTAGATCATAACTGTATCTTTTGCACGGTGTTGAGAAAATTAGACCGTCTGTGCAAGTTAGCAGAAAAGTGTGTTTCATGTGATGCTACAATAATTTTGGCAACTGTTTTCAGTAACATCATGCATATTGTAACCTTTTTTTCTAAAACTATAAAACCCTTATGGATTCTACCAATATAAATGCAGATTTGCATATTAAAGGGAGTTCTTTTACCCGAAAGTGTTTAAAAAATAATGTTGTTTGTGCCAATACTATTGAGAGAATTCAGGCCACTTGTTATCAAAAGCAGAAAGTGTGGCATTTTCCAACCTTCCTGACCCCTCCTCATAGTCCTCTGGGTGGCCTCCTTGAATGCTTTACTTTACTACAGTTTTCTGAGGCCAACTCAGCTTCCTTAGGGTTTCAGCTATTTTTTTTTCTGTCCTCTTAGGTATACAGAGGGTTAGTCTGGAAATACTACAATCCATGGATGAGCTGAGCCTCTAAGCAAGACTGCTCCTGGAGAAAGGTGTTATTGCCCAATCATCCCTCCCCTCAATTAAGAGCAGGCTCACTTACAAGTACTAGTGTTGGGGGACAAAAAAATCTATTAGCAAAATAAAGCAGCTAACAAACTTCTACTAGACCCTGTGGTTAACTTCTTTCCATGTGTTCAAAATTGAAAGCTGGTTGCAATGACACTTTTAATCAGTAGAACACATTACATGGCCACACAATTACAAAAATGGCACAAATGCTGATATCAAGAAGGTCATCCTTGTAGTCATGGTCAGAGCTTAGCAAAAACTGCACTTTCTTAAATGCACTATTCTTAAAATAGATGAAGGCAGAATCTCCAACACTCAGTGATGATGGAAAAGTACCTGCAAGCCAAAAGTGACAAGTGGTGCTGCTTCAAAGCAGAGAGGAAAATGGTTTCCTTCTGATTCTGTCATCCAGCCATCCACTAGGCAGGAGAAAGAAATGGTGCTTGTGTTTCTCAAAGACTCCTTCAAGTGTAGTCTCTGGGTCTCTGCGGGGGATGGCTTTTACCTGCCTCCATTTGCTGTTCATGTATTCAAGAAATATTTATTGGGTAATAACCATGTAGCATGGAGGGTATTCACAAGACCAGGAAAAAACCAACAAGCAAAACATTGACAAGAATAATGCTGGAGTTATCTGCAAAGTATTATAGGAGCAGAGATGAGGAGTGACTAACCTTGTCCAGGAAGAGAGGACATGGAAGAAGTGACATTTGAGCTGGGTTTGCACCCAGATATGGCAAATGGATTTAATCCTGGGTCCCAGATCTTGGCGTCTGAAGTGTTGTGTTGGGAACGTCTGTGAGGCTGGGCTGTGGGCCTGGGGCAGAGGTACTCTTGATTATTGATATCTACCACAAACCAATACCTGTGAGTTGGCTGGAAGGGCTGTATCCTGCCCCAAATTTAGCAGCTCAGACTCAACCACATCACTATTCTTTGTTTCTGAGAAGTAAGAATTAGATATAAACACATTTTTCCAACATCTTCTCATAATAATCAGTGCTCTTTCCAACATTTTCTATCCTCCCCTGGCCTTCTTTACATAAATAAGTCCAAGAACACCATGGGTGTTTACTCAGTTCTGTGTTGCCAGTCCTGGATACTTTACATTAGTGATTGTAGGCTGGAGTGTTGTTGGCTAAATACGATTGAAAGATATAATACATTTTGCCCCACAAAGGTTTTCTTTTTCTCTGTGTGTGTGAGAGAAGGGGAATTTGACACTTTTTTTTTAAAGTCAGATTTATGGCTTCTCTTCACAACTCAGATAATCTGGCAACAGAGTCCTCGCATAGGATTTCAAAGGGAGATGGAGTATTCAGGGAAGTCATCTCCTAAGAAGTAGCATACAATGTAAACCCTGTGATTTAAAAAGTCAGTCATGTGAAGATCCAGGGCAGAGGTGAGCAAACTCATCTGTAAAGAGCTAGGCAGTGCAAATGCTTGGCTTTGCCAGGCACACAGTCTTTGGCATAATGACTTTGCAGTGCAAAAACTGTCATAGACAATACTTAGTGATTGAGTGTTGATTTATTCCAATAAAGCTTTATTTACAAAAACAGCCAGTTGGGCATATACGGTTCATGGGCCAAAGTTTGCCAACCCTTGACTTAGGGGAAGAGTCATCCAGATAAAGAAATCAAAAGGTGAAAATCCCTGAGGCAGAAAAAAATTTGTAAGTTTAAGTGAAAGAAAGAAAGAAAGATTTCATTCTTTATCAAGAATAAAATCAGAGGAGATTAGGATATGAGAGACCGTGCTCATCTGTCCCTTAGATTTGGCAACTAAATGGGAGAGAAGTTATACTGAAATCAGTTCTAATGTACACACAATTCTATATGTTTTCTAACTTACTTGTCCTAGCACCAACACTCATTGATATCCATGGAATTAATTATTAATACATTCAAAGCTGTTTTATTATGCATTCCATCAAAGGTGGTCCAGCCCTTCTAAACATCAACCATGTAATTATCTTCCATGTCTCTAAGGCAATGCACAAATGCCTAAATTTCTTTCTGGATTATAATAGTAAAATAGATTGAATATAGTTTGCAGACAAATACCTCATATATAAAGGAAGCAATAGATATTGTTGAATCATAGCACCTTTTTATAAGGTACAATTCTCTGAAAAATATTAAAATATATTTGGAATTCTTTACATCTTTGGCCAGATATTTGGATAACTGAGACATACCAATTTATGATAAAGAGTTGATGTGAAAAGGGCGATTTCACTACAGTATTTTTATCTGCCTTAGCAGAGGATGAAGAAGACGATAACTTAGAAATCATGTAGCCTAGCATTTCCAAAGTTGAGGAATATTGAAAAGCTCTGGCAACATGAGTATGAACAAGGCATTAAATATCTTGAATTAAATAGTGACAATGCCACTGCCTTTTCAATCCCTTTTTAAAATTATTTTGATTATACTCTGTGAAAAATCTCAGTTTTGTACAGCCATGTTTTAACACGGCTTATCTCCTTTTTTGCAAAGAGAATTCTGATCTCCAGCTCACAGCCCTCAGCAGACACAGCATCCATAAGACATTTATTAACTTCAGCTTGTTTTTGTATCTTCCCAGTTACCTTCTATTCAGGGTTTGCTCTTCCCCAAACTCTCCACTCTTCTGCATCCTGCCCTCTGTCCTGGGAGGCTGTCCTGAATGGACAACACCACTGGGGTTTCAGGCTCTCTGGCTCCCCACTGGGCTAGCTGAACCCCCAGGGGAAGACTGGAGGGAGGCAAGAAAGTGAGGTCAAAGCAATTTTCCTCTTGACTTTCTCCATTGCAGGTCACCACAAGCTGGCTCTGTCCCTTGGGTGCCGATCTACATGACTTCCTCTTCTTCCCATTTCTAGTAACCTTTCCCACCCCCTCACCCTTGTATACCTAAGGAAGTGTTCCCTAAACCCCATCCAAATCTGTATGACCTGTAAATCCACCCACCTAGGCTCCCGTTGAAACCTAAATAGCACAACCTCTATTTATGTTGATTTATGTCACTTACCTATGAACAGCCATGACAGAAATGTTCCTTTTAAAATAAACATTTAAGTTTTCAGAGTGATCCACTTTCTTTTTTGAGACAGGGTCTCACTCTGTCACCCAGACTGGAGTGCAGTGGCGTGAACACTCTTTGCTGCGGCTTCAACATCTCGAGCTCAAGTCATCCTCTGCCTTCAGCCCCTCAAGTAGCTGAGGCTGCAAGCATGTACTACCACGCACAGCTAATTATTTATTTTTTTGTAGCCATAGGGTCTCCCTGTATTGTCCAGGCTGGTCTCAAACTCCTGAGATCAAGCGATCCTCCCACCTAGGCCTCCCAAAGTGCTAGGATTACAGGTATGAGCCACTGCACCCAGTCAATCCACTTTCAATATTAGATAACAATTCAAGTGATACTGAAATATGCTAGAAAGTTATGAAGATGATTTGTGGCTGACTGTATTTGTCCAGCCTTGGGTTTTTTTTAATTGGTTGGTGTTTTAGTTTGTGATTTTACATTTAACTGAACTGGAGAGGGGAAGGGATATGCTCAAGGTCACCAGGAAAATAAATGGTTGTATGTCAAAGCCATAGCTGGAACCCACATCTGCATAATTGTCTGGCCATGGTTGCCTTTATTATACCACATGGCCTAATCCCAGCATTAATGATATGGGCTGAACAGGCAGACATTATCACCAAACAAGGGATAGTAAATTCTACAAATCGGCACTGGAGGTGTTTATGGAACCTTAATATATGCAGCTTTTCAAAGCTGAATGGAGTCCAGTTGTCTTGGATGGTATGAACAAATATCTACTGTATTCCCAGATAGACTAATATCAGACATTTCCACCCAGGACAAATATATGTTCTATTTCCCAGGTGCACTCAAGGAGACATGGAAAGTAGGCAGCCAGCCCAAAGTCACACTTCACAGAAATATAAGGCAAAAATCAAAAGTTAGAGTAGCCTCAGGCGATAAGAAAAGCAACCAAGAACTTTTGTCTGCTCATAGAAGATAATTCAAAGATAATGTGTGGGCAAAAATAGCACTCTTAATATGAGTCCTCTGTGTCAAACCCCAGAAAATGGGGAAAATTATGATACTCCTTATCCTCCACCTCCTCATGAAACTGCAAGAACAGTCTCTCTCTGTCAACTCTTAAGAAAAAAGTTTCTGCCATAAGATAATGTAGAGGGTACCCGTAGTTTGCAGGCTGAAATGTTTTTAAATTAGTTACCAAAATTTAAAAATGGGAGATTTTACATAAAAATCTAGATTTCCAGACTTCTCAAAGTCACAAAATTTGAGTCTAGATTCTGACATGATAATTGGCTAGGACAGGTATGAATCCTCCACTTTCCCCTTAGATGGCAAATGCTCTCGACTTGATAGACTCACAACATGGTAGCGTTTATATTCAGCTAGAAAAGAGAGAGAGACACACCCACACTGACTTGACCCTCCTTGCATTTCAGTTTTTTTGTTTTTTGTTTTTTAAAGAATAGTATTTTATTGAATAAGTTTTGTTCACAGAAAAATAAGCTTTAATCTACAATGAATGCCAGATTATACAGCAGAAAGCAATTTTCTTAGCTTTCCACACTGATAGAAAGGTTCCTACTAAGTGAAAAAAGCCATAAAGTTATATTCACAAATATAGTACTCTGTCTCAAAACATTCCACATGACTATTCACAATATTAATACAATTAAATCAGTCATTCAGTCAGGTTAAAGTATAACAGTAATGAAAAAAATGCAAAATCTAACATAAATTACGTTAAAACCTTTGTTCATCAAATCAAAAAGCAAATTTCCTACCAAATACAGAAAAACGGTAAAATATATAGTAATTTAAAATATTACATTAATGATACAGAATAAGAAAGTGGTAAACTCCAAAAATCTACAGGCATATCTGCAAACTTCAGACTTCAAAGTAGAATCTGACCACCCAAACATTAATGTAGCATTTGTCTAATTTTGTTTTGTTTTGTTTTGTTTTTGAGATGGAGTCTCACTCCATCACCCAGGCTGGAGCACAGTGGCAACATCCCAGCCCACCACAACCCCCGCCTCCGAGGCTCAAGTGACTCTCCCCCTCAAGCTGCGCAAGCAGCTGGAACCACAGGCACGGGCCACCACGTCCAGCCATCCTTGCATTTCTGCAGAGTCAGGATTTCAGCATGTTGGCCAGGCTGGCCTTCAACTCCTAACCCCAGGCAATCCACCTGCCTCAGCCTCCCAAAGTGCTGAGATTACAGGCGTGAGCCACTGTGCCCGGTACCATTTGTCTAATTTGAAGATATAATTGTCCCTTGCTATCCATGGGGTTTTGGTTTCACGACCCCCTAGGACCTGAGGATGCTTAAGTCCCTTAGATAAAATGACATAAGGCTGGGTGCAGTGGTTCACGCCTGTAATCCTAGCACTTTGTGAGGCCGAGGCAGGCAGATCACCCGAGATCAGGAGTTCGAGACCAGCCTGGCCAACACCACAAAACCAGTCTCCACTAAGAAATACAAAAATTAGCTGGGCCTGGTGGCAGGTGCCTGCAATCCCAGCCACTCGGGCAGCTGAGGCCTGAGAACCTCTTGAACCCAGGAGGCGGAGGCTGCAGAGAGCCAAGATGGCACCACTGCACTCCATCCTGGGCAACAGAGTGAGATTCTGTTAAAAAAAAAATACATATGTAACAAACCTGCACGTTGTGCACATGTACCCTAAAACTTAAAGTATAACAATAATAAAATTTTAAAAAAATAGTATTTGCATGTAACATATGCACATCTTCATCACATACTTTATTTATTTATTCTGAGACAAGGTCTTGCACTGCCACCCAGGCTGGAGTGCAGTGCCATGATCATAGCTCAGTGCAGCCTCTGCCTCCCAGACTCAAGCGATCCTCCCACCTCAGCCTCTGGAGTAGCCAGGACCACAGGCACACACCACCACGCCCAGCTAATCTTTGTATTCCTCATAGGGACAGAGCTTGCTCTGTCAGCAGGCTGGAGTGCAGAGGCATGATCTTGGCTCACTGCAATCTCTCCCTCCCGGGTTCAAGAGATTCTCCTGCCTCAGCCTCCTGAGTAGCTGGGATTACAACTCTTCCCATTTAACTGAATGAACCACTCCTTTTCAAAAAAATCACCACATCTTTTTTTCTTTTTTTTTTTTTGAGATGGAGTCTCGCTCTGTTGCCCAGGCTGGAGTGCAGTGGCGCGATCTCGGTTCACTGCAACCTCCGCCTCCTGGGTTCAAGTGATTCTCCTGCCTCAACCTCCTGAATAGCTGGGATTACAGGCGTGTGCCACCACACTCAGTTAATTTTTGTATTTTTAGTGGAGATGGGGTTTCACTATGTTGGCCAGGATTGTCTCCATCTCTTGACATTGTGATCTGCCCGCCTGGGCCTCCCAAAGTGCTGGGATTACAGGCGTAAGCCACCGCACCTGGCCGCATTTCAGTTTGAGAAAAAGGAAGGTATGAAATTGCCAGTTACTGACAATTACAAATTCTTGAGGCTTTTGTATTTCTCAGTCCAAGTTTGTGGGGCAACAGCAGGTGAAGAGCCAGCTTCTCTCTGTGGTCCCATTTTGAATGCTCTCTACACATTTCCTTCTTGAAAATATTCTATTGGATCAATGCGTTTTGGAAACCCTGTTACCTAAAATCGTATCACTTTTCTTACACCAACTTCGTTTCTGTTACCTGGGTGAACCTAATACAATTTCCCTGTACATCTGTCAAGTTAATCCATTTGCCATCATCTTGTATTTTGAGTCAAAACTAATACATACACTAACCTTTAATTTATAACATGAATTTCATTAGATCAGGTGAGTTTAAAAGAAAGGCTTCATTTTGATCCCAAGATGTATTCTGTGAGCACCACTTAATATCACCCGTGTTCAGTGAGTTGAATAAATCTAGCTGCTCTGTTTGCTGCCTGTCTTACTAAACGCACTCAGAGTTTTAATGCTACTAGGTCTTCCCAAATTTTTGCTGAACAAAATATTTCAAAAAGAAATATTTAGGTCAGTTTGTTGAAGTAAACTTTACTCTGAAAACTTGGTTACAGAGTGGTTCAAACTTTCTGTTTTTAAATGATCGCATCCTTTTTAAAAAATGTTGTAGTCCTGTCCTCACAATTAAATGAAGGATGGGTCATAGGAATTGCATTTGCAATTATTGTTGTTAAGCTGTAATTATTACATTATGACTCATTTACTCCCCCAGATATGATCTGTTTCATGAATACATTACTCTTTTTATAAAGAATTGGGTTTGGAGGCTGAAGTGCAGGGACTCTAAGGCCTGGTAATTCCCCCAGTTCGGAGATATTTTTTCTAACCAATTAACTTATGCACAAATCAAGTTCTCTGCTGGGGCAGGTGGGCCTCGCCACATTTCTCCATGCACACATTTTCTCTGGAACCATTCGTTTCTGTAGGTTTTTTTCCCCCTTTAAATGGCAGCAGAAGAAGGCAGCTTTATGAGGGCCAGCGGAAGACAGCAGGTATTTTGAAATCCTTTACCATTTGCAGGGAATCCTGGCCTTATCTTCCTCAGCTTCCACCACAGGAGCAAACAGTGGGGCAGAGCCTACATATACCTCTGGGTTGAGATTTCAGTCCCCAGGCCCAGTGTTAAAAGCTCATCACACTCTGCGTCTCTTGCTATTGTAGTGGCTGGTAAGTTTATTTCCTTAAGAAAGCAAACGGCAGCCAGACACGGTGGCTCACGCCTGTAATCCCAACACTTTGGGAGGCCAAGGCGGGTGGATCACCTGAGGTCAGGAGTTCGAGCCCAGCCTGACCAACAAGGTGAAACCCCGTCTCTACTAAAACTACAAAAATTAGCTGGGCGTGGTGGCAGGCGCCTGTAGTCCTAGCTACTCAGGAGGCTGAGACAGGAGAATTGCTTGATCCCAGGAGGTGGAGGTTGCAGTGAGCCGAGATTGCACCACTGCACTCCAGCCTGAGTGACACAGTGAGATTCCATCTCAAAAAAAAAAAAAAAGAGAAAGCAAACAGCAAATTCATCTTTCCATCTTCCACAATTGCTCAGTGTCCTACAATTGTCTCTATGGACAGCTTAGGGTTTGCCTTGAAATGAAGATAAAAGAGCTCCAGGAGTAATTTAAGGCCCCTGCATCTGGCAACAATAGAGAGGGGGACCCTGAACACCTACACATGGGAGTACTTAGGATTTTGTGTGCAACACGGAACACACTGAATAGAAGGTAAAAATAGAATGGTATGTAACAGTGTGCTTTGTATGTGTGTGTGAGCAAGTATGTGTGTTCACCCGTGTTATGAGTGGAAATTTAGACCTGACCTGTGGGGTCAAGTATCTGTTTTGCACTTACTAATCTAGGGCAGCTACTTAAGCTCTTTGTGCCTCAGTTACCTTATTTGCAGAACAGAGATAATAAGAGGATTTACATCATGAAGTTATCATGGGAATCTAATAAGTGCCTGGCCCATAGAAAATGCTCAGTGAGCTGGGCGCGGTGGCTCACACCTGTAATCCCAGCATTTTGGGAGGCCGAGGTGGGCGGATTACGAGGTCAGGAGATCGAGACTATCCTGGCTAACACAGTGAAACCCCGTCTCTACTAAAAAATACAAAAAATTAGCCAGGCGTTGTGGTAGGCGCCTATAGTCCCAGCTACTCCGGAGGCTGAGGCAGGAGAATAGCATGAACGTGGGAGGTGGAGCTTGCAGTGAGCCGAGATAGTGCCACTGCACTCCAGCCTGGGTAACAAAGGGAGACTCCGTCTCAAAAAAAAAAAAAAAAGAAAGAAAGAAAATGCTCAGTGAATGTTGATTACAATGATAGCTATTACTCTGGTTGATAATGTCAAGATCAGCTAAAATGCTTTCCTTTTGAAAATTTCTAGGCCTCAGTTTCCCCTTCTTTAAATAGCAATGATGACACATTCTAGGATTATTGCTAGGATTATATGCATTAGTACACTACAAATGCTCAAAGAGTCCTGGTAGCATACTGATTTCCAGGATGAACTCTTGAGCTGATATGGCTCCAGCGCCTAATACCTGTATGACTTTGCTCAGCCCACCTGATCTTTTTAGTTTCTGTCTCCTCATCTGTAAGAATGGAGATAACAATAGTACTTACTTCTTGGGGAAGAGGTGAGGATTAAATATCTCAAGGCAAGTAGAGAATTTAGAATGGTAACTGCTATGCAGTGGGTGTTATGTAGATGCCGGATATCGTTATCTGTGAGAAACACTTGATTGCCTTCTCACTGTGCTCGCAGTAGACTGTGGGTCCTCTTGCTGCCTGTGCTGAGCCACGTGGTTTGAAGGGGCTCATCTGTACAGTCTCACTTGGATTCCCATCCCCTCCTTGAGCTACCCCTACGTCACTATCATTTCATACAGGGCCTTCGAGATACAGCCACCAGCTTGCAAGATGGTGTTATATGTCCCCTGGCAAGGATTAAAAACTGTCCCACTGGTACTTAAAAGAAAGTATGTTTAGATCTCTGAGCAGTTTAGGGCTTGGCATGATATGGAGAAAAATGTTCAACTTCACAATAATGGGTTTATTGCATTTTTTAAAAGCACAATTGAATACCACCTTGATGACAAGGTCTACTTGCACTCACGTGCACAGCCCCTGGCCTGACAGCTCAGCAACTCCCAGGCAGGGTGGAGAGTTCGCAGGGTCTGAGTTCAATAGTGGTGTGTCTTTGGGCAGGTTCTTTGACCACAGAAGCCTTGGCCTTCACCTGTAAAAGATGGGTAACCAAGTGTCTCCGTGAGAAAAAGATAAGTAAATGCATAGATAAGCATCTAGGATACAACAAGTACTCAATGAGACAACAGTAAAATCCTGGCAAAAAGGCTACATGCTTAGCAGATACTGTGTGTGCACACGCTTTTACAACAACACGATGGAGCAAAATTGGAATTTTAATTTGCTTTATGTGAAAATTCAATTAACGGCCAGGCGTGGTGGCTCACACCTGTAATCCCAGCACTTTGGGAGGCCAAGGTAGGTGGATCACCTGAGGTCAGGAGTTCAAGACCAGCCTGGCCAACATGGTGAAACCCCATCTCTACTAAAAATACAAAAATTAGCTGAGCATGGGGGCGTGCACCTGTAATCCCAGCTACTAGGGGGTGCTGAAGCAGGAAGATCATTTGAACCCGGGAGGCAGAGGTTGCAGTGAGCTGAGATTGCACCACTGCACTCCAGCCTGGGCAACAGAGTAAGACCCCGTCTCCAAAAAAAAAAGAAAGAAAAAAAAGAAAATTCAATTAAAACCAAATTAAATTGCCTAACATATCATTTCCCAGTCTTCTTACATAATTGTTTATATTTTCTGAGAATCACTGTATGTCTGGTACTATTGTAAATATACCAAAATTTCTATGCAACCCTCACTAAATATCTCTGAGGTGATATGTTCTTTATTAGCCCCATTTAGTAGAAGTGGAAGCTGGGAAAGGGAGGTAAAATATTGTGCATAAGACCAGGCACTGACAGATCCAGGATTTAAATTCAGGCAGTCTGCCTGCTGAAAAGCAACTCAGCATCGGAGAAATTACAATTTCACAATAACATTTCCCCTAGAGCTTCAGATAGTATGAAAACATTAAAGCAGACCATCAAGGTTTCATAAAAAAGCACATTTCATATATCTCAAATTGTCTTTACCTGATCTTCCTACACTCTTCCTTCTACTGTGTGGAAAGCAGTAATACTTGCTTATTATTTTCTACCATTATTATTTTTCTTTCTTCACACATATTTTGCAAAAATATTCATTTTACTCTGAGAACTGAGATCCCCTCAGTGAGAGGGGTGAATGTCCCACATGGTGAAGTTCTTACCTGGTGTATTTTGGCCAGCCCAGGGTTAACCCAACTTTCTCTCTCTCTGTATCATTCGCTGGTTAGTAGTAAAGGTTTCCTAATGGCTGTACAGGCAATCTCCAAATTTTAGTGGCATCAGCAATTTTCCAAAACACAGATGTATTTCTTCTTCAAATTCCAGTACAAATTGTATTGAGTGGTGGAGAGGCTCTGTTCTGCACTTTTTAAAGAGACCCAGATTCTTTCCACGTTTAAGTTAAAGACTGAGGTCACTCCACAATGAAAAAATACATCATGGAATCTCCTTTATGATATTTATGGTTGGACTCATAATTTTGATTGGTAAGAACTCAGTCACATAACCCCATAGTAAAATTATTTTCATTTGCCAGCACTCAGTCACATGACCCCCTACTCACATAATTTTCATTGATCAGAACTCAGTCACATGACCCCAGATTCACATCATTTTATTGGCCAGAACTGAATCACATGACCCCAACCCAAACTCAAGAGAGGACAGGAAAATTAGTCTAAGGCAGAGCCCTAGAAAGAAAATTAAGTGGGTCGGTGAGTGCATTGTATGATCCTTGCCATTACCTGGACTAACGGTCTTGAGCTTGTTAGTTCTGCTTTCTCAGCCACGAGTTCCTATGCTTTCCATGTCCCTGCTGAGCATTGTCATTCAGGGAAATGGCAGAAATGTTCCCTCAGTCTGTCAACATTGCCTATTCCAAAGGCCAGGGAGGTCTGACCTCTGTTTGCTCAGTTGCAGCTGGCCCTGGAGAAAAGTTACAAGTATCAGAATATGAAAATAAAAGATCTTTCTGCAGGAATTCAGCCTTATCAAACCCTAACATTGCTTCATACTTTGACAAACAGGAGAAATGAGGCCTAAAAATTAATTGCTGAATTTCATGTGCAGAGAGCTGATCCTTTCTTCCAAAGTTAGTCCTACCAATGGACTAAAGCAGCAGCATTTTGTAAACAAAATCTAATCTTCAGCCACACTTCTGGAATTGCAAACTTCCATCACGTTTCTCGTAATTATCAGATACTAATAACAGCACAGGCACAAGAGAAAGTTATATTTAGAAGCACAGTTACCCGGAAAAGTAATTCTCCTCTGAGCTGGATGATTCTGAGTGAATTTGATGTCAACTATTTTCACACCTCCAACACACAAACTTAATCTACAGTCCTTCTATAAATAAAATCAGAAGTAAAGTGTATGCTGATGAGAGTTTTATGTTCTTGAGTTTTCTTCTCTAAAACTTAGGTAGCAAAGAATTCTGTCTAATCCCCAGTCAATGGCACATAAATATTGGTTCATGCATGGCTGTCTCTTAAACTTTTCCCATCTCTATCCTTATCTCTGTCTCCACTAAATTCTCCTGCACTGCCTCCCCGACCCCATCTAATTGATTGATTCACGTCCTTGGGTGACATCTTTGAAAAATAGATGGTAAAAGTTTGTATACACACGCATCTTAAATTCACATCCTATTGTGCCGTAGAGTTTGTTTCTTAGTTTTCTTCATTCAGCACTATGCTTTGGAGAGCTCTCAAGGGTGCTGTTGGTTTCTCTAGTTCATTGCCACTGTGAGTTGTAACTGATAGAGCTCTATCTTCCTGCTCCCATTCGTAAATACACATCACGAGAATAGTCTGTGTCCACTAAATTCAAGTAATTTCTCAGTCCACTGGGTTAAGATAAATTTCCATTGCCCGAAATGTGGCCTTAGTAGAGATAAACACTCCATTTGCCCACTTATTTTTAACTAATATTTCAATTTAATTGAAATGAAACATTCAAGATCCATTTTTTCCTAGGCGTTTAACTTACAAACCTCAATATTATATTTATAAAGCTAATACATTTTACAATTTAAGCTAAATTAAACTTTTTCAAATATTTTAAACTGCATTATAAATTTAATGTTTTGATTTATTTTAAAGCTATTGAGATGCTACATTACAAAAACTATAAGTGCTTAAATAATACTAATAAATGTAATATATTCAACTTTGAAATAGAGTGATCTGACGTTCTGTTAAACATGCTAATATTGTTTAAACTTAAATGTCTTTTTAAATCTTTCAACTTAATTTTATATATATATTTTTTATTATACTTTAAGTTCTAGGGTACATGTGCACAACGTGCAGGTTTTTTACATATGTATACATGTGCCATGTTGGTGTGCTGCACCCATTAACTCGTCATTTACATTAGATATATCTCCTAATGCTATCCATCCTGTGATGTTCCCCTTCCTGTGTCCAAGTGTTCTCATTGTTCAATTAATATCACAAGCCTATATTATTTTCTAAGTTGTATGTTTTAATTTAGACCACAAGGCTAATCTGTCACCCCAGTGTGCCAAATTTAAATATTTCAAATACTTAAATACAAAATATATTACAATTCCATCTATAGCTTAACACTAAAATATTACTAGAGGCTTGATTCACTTCAATATCTTGATTCTTATTTCTAAACCTTCCTAGTATGAAATGCCCACTGAGGAAATAGCTTTACTCTCTGCAGCAATCAGGGCCAATTGCCCAAGCAAGTGGGGAGTTTTTGTCCCACAGTGATCAAGGGTCTTTCCTCGGTGGGGTGTGATTACTTGTTGACCAGAAATGTTCAATTGAGAAACAATCTGGAACTGCAAATATCACAGAGGTTATTCTCACCACCCAGAGGGACTCCTTGAGGTTTTTCCAGCATCTTTATGTCAAGCTGTGATCTGAGTCCATGCCCTCCAGGAACCAGACATCTAGATTCAAGTCACACAGTAGCCAAAGGTAATTTTATAATGAACTCTTCCATCCAGGATGCCTCCCCATAATTGTTATCACCAAATGTATTTAAGCCTTGCTTCTGTCCTGCATTATTTTTCCAACTTGCCTGTCTATGAAGACCTGTGGTTGAAGCCTGCATATTTGTTGTGTTCTAGTCCTTCTAGCTGTTTTCTTCTAGTTCAATAATTTATAGCATCTGAGGCACTTCATGAAGATGACCCCAGCAATTGTTATTCCTAAAAATAGCAACTTAGAAAATAATTTTTAAGCTTTGATCACCTGTTACTAGCTTTGTTAACTTTATTGATTTAAATAGCAAACTTTAAAATTTAGTATATCTGGCTCTTTTTAATGTTAAAGTACCAGATATGATAAAAATAATGCATACAAATTCAATTATTGTAAAATATCTTACTACTATACTTTCTTCTTAATATATTCTAAAATATCAACACAACAGACTCTTCATTTTTCATGATTTTACTAATTTGTTACTATAAATACACACATATACATAATTTAAAACTGTCAATGATTATGATTAATAAAAACACTAGATTTTAATAGAATATGAAATATCTATATGTAATAAATATCCCCTACATATTAAAAATAATTAAAATACATATCCTATTATAGTCTTCAATGTTGCATTTCATACTGGTAATCATAATATTACATATTATAATAATGTCAGTAATAGTACTAACTCAATGCTTTTCACTAACTTATTGTAATTATCTATAATAATCATTATTTTTTTTGTTGCTGTTTTTGGTACTCAAGATCATTAAAATACATCCAATTAAATCATGTTAACTAAGTGTTAAACTGTTTTCTGCCTTTTGAATGTCATGCTGAATTTTTAAACATTGTTTTTTTTAAGCATCCTTGCTTGCTTTCTGGCAACAGTCAAAAATTATAACCTCTTCTGATTTACTTTGTTGTCTGTTTGTTGTCTCAGGATTGAGAATCAACAGCCAACCCCTGCCTATCTCCTGGATTTCTTTAGTATGGAATTGGTGTTGAAGGTGAAAATCTGGACACTATGGGTAGTGATGGCTGGCAAGAGGTTTCTTCTATTCTTGGCTCATTTGTAGATTCTGATCTGGAGAAACTACATATATTTTTATGGTCATGAATTTAACTTGCAGTTTCAAATTTAACATATTATGTTGCTATCATTAATGCTTCTCAAGATGCCAAGTTTTCTTAACCTCTAGGACTTTCTTCTGTGTTATTGACTCTTTGACTCCTCACTGGGTATACTCCCTGGGTTGGCTATTTATGTTATGAGGCTTCCTAATATTTTGATTTTCTTTCTACAGCCCATTGTTTTCCCAGTGGACTACTCCCCATAGTGGTTGTACCTGCCCTCATGGCTTGAAGTACTGACTGTAAGCTGTTAACTGCCAAGTCTTTACCCTCAGAACTCATACCAGAGATTCAGACTCACATCACCACCTACCAACCAAGTAACTCCACTTGGATTTCCACAGACACCCAAAGGATCTCATTATCTTCTAAAATTGCTCCTCTTTGGTCTTGTCATCATGTCTTTTCTCTCTTAGTCAAAGATGCTACCATCTCAGGTCATCTAAGATAGAGTTCTTAATGTCAACCCTCATCTCTATCCAGCCCTAAAACCAGCCTTCTCATTTTGCATCTCCAAAGTATTTCTTCCATAGCCCTTAAATAATCCTAGTATGTAATATATTAAACTTTGAAATAGAGTGATCTCAGGTTCTGTTAAACATGCTAATATTGTTTAAACTTAAATGCCTTTTTCCTTTTTCCATCACCACTACTACAGCTCAGATCCTCACGGATCATTACCCGGACTATTGCAGTAGACCCCTAAGTGATCTTGCTTCAAGATCACTTCAAGTCAAGCCTCTCTCCTAATCACTCTCAACATTTCAGCCACAGTTTTATTTCTAAAATATTAGTATATTCATTTCACTCTTATGATTATTTTGAATCACTCTGTGAAACCCTGTTTGTTTCTCTGAGTAAAGTTCATCCTCAGTGATGTGTTATACAAGGCTTTTTATATCATGATTAACACAATAAGATGCTTAATTATGAAACTTAACGTGTCTGCATCCCACTCCCTAGGCTTCAAGAAGAAGGACAGAAATTGCATATTTTTGAAAAGGTTATTCTAATGTACAGCTGGGTTTGTGATCCACTTATAACCCCTGGAAACCACTAACCTGTTCTCCATAATTTTGTCATTTCTGGAATGTCACATAAGTAACATCATACAGTATGTAACTCTATGGGATTGGCTCTTTTTTTGTCTCGGCATAATTCATCCAGGTTTTTTGTGTTTACCAATAGTACATTCTTTGTTATTGCCAGGCAGTATTTCTACATATGAAAGTATCATAGATTGTATAGCCATTAACTCATTGAAGGACATGTGAGTTGTTTCCACAATTTGGCTATTATGAATAAAGCTTCTACAAACATTTGTGTACAAGTTGTTGTGTGAACATCCATCTTCATTTCTCTGGGATAAAAGTCCAAATATACAATGGCTAGATCACATGGTAGTTGTGTGTTTAGGTATAAAAAGAAGCCGAGACTTTTGGAGATTAAGTGAGAAAATCCACATAAAGAATCTCTAACAAAACACTGAGTAAAATATGCCTATCATTATTGATGTTACTATTAGTATTAATAACAGAAATACCAACAGTGAGGACCTACACTTGGTTATTCAAAGCATGTGATGAGGGCATTGATTGCCACCTGGTGACACCATGCTTTGGTCATTTGCCATTCTCTTTCAGGTGAACCAAACTTGTGATTACTTTATTTTCAATTATAAATAGAAAAAAATCAACCAATCAACCAGACAAACTAACAAAAAAAGAATCAACTGAGTATTATGTAATGCAGTGATTGAAAATATTAAGGAAGAGTTGTGAATGGTTGTACTTTGTATACCTCTTAGAAACATGATGCTATTAAAGGATATAATTATATGTATTATGGCATGTATAGATAAGTGAAGATTGATCATTATACTAGCATATAATTATCATAATCTAGAATATGATTACTCTTGGGGAGACCAAAGACAGATCCAAATTAAGCATTACTTAAAATGATGTTATGAAATCAAATAGTTAAAAAAAAGAGCAACAATAAGCAGCATTCACCCAACACTTGGGATAGAGGGGCCTTCCCTACCAGAGTCTTGCTGATCTGGTAATTAAGCAAGAGGAAACATATTTATTTTGGATCCTGTAGCAGAATCTCTCCAGGCTCATGATCCACCCACCTTTCTGTTCTGCTCTCTCCTAGCACTCTTTCCACTGCCCATCCTCAACCCTCACCCCCAGGGAGAAAATACTTTGCTAGTCTTCAGATCGGGACACTCAGTAACTACATTTTCCTTTCTGACCTCAGTCTGGGGCTTTAATTATAAACCAATGGAACAAAACAGGGAGTTGAGTGAGAAAGACACAAAAGGAAATAAAAACAAATATACACTGGTGGAATATTTTTAAAGACTCCAAGATGAGAGTATTATTATTTATACTTATTTATGGGTGTGATAAAGACTAAATGAGGTGGATAGTTTTGTGGTTTGACTCTCAGGTTTTAAAGAGGAATGGCTGTTGGTTTCTCAATTCCCAATGAGGTGACTTGCTAGGGAAGAAAGGTTATTTCTCAGAAACTGGATCTGTCAGCAAGTGTGTTCAGTTGCGTACAATTCTTTACATTGTACAATACAAAATACTCTTTTATATCAGGAAACATGACTGTCTCTCTCTTCTGAATAATGTACTTTTCTTCTTAGCAGAAATAAGGCATTATCATTGACTGCATGTTTCTGAGGATAGCACCCCAGAGCCTGTGGGTTGCTGTGGGCAGCAATAAAGAGTACTGCAGTGCTTTTCAACTATATTCTTAGATCTTATTTTCCTCTCCCCCTCCCTCTCAGCCTCTCATCTAAAGTAAACTCTTCCAAAACAGTAATTGAACAAGCAAATAAAATGCCAAGGCACCTAAGTCAACTCTTTTCCAAAACAATCATCAAACAAGCAAACAAAATGCCAAGGTTATGATAACAGCAGCTTTTGAAAGTTGTGTAAGAAACACAATCAACCCTCCTTTTCCACGAACAGGGAGTGATTTCCAGTAATTTTCTCAGTACTTGAGGTTTAGCCATTTTGAAAAATCTTTTTTAAAATGAAAAGAAGGAGGGAGCATGGACGTTCAGAGAGGGAGGCTGAACAAGAGGCACCCCAGGCTTTCTCTGGGCCAAGGAAATCGTTATTTGCTTCCCTGCTTCCCATCCTATGATTTTTGCATTAAACTACTTCCTTCTCCAGGTCAGTCCAGAGGAGGGATATCATTCACTATTGAAATTAAGATAAATTTAAAAATTTAAAGATGTACATTCTGGGGAGAGAGAGAGAGATTGAGAGAGAGAGAGAGAGAGAGAGAGAGAGACAGATAGAGAGAGAGAGAGAAAGAGAGCAATTCTTTATAAACCTTGGAATTTTGCCATATTCTGTTCCATTAGAATTGTCTTCAGGGAGAGCCTCTGGGGTGAGACAGGAGATATGAATAAATACTTGCTTCTTCATGAAAACTAAGAATTAACTTTTTCTTAGTTCCGCAGCCTCTCCTCCCTAGCATCTCTCTGTGTTGAGCATATTTTTGACCTATGTTTGTCATATGACATGGTTCCTAAAAATAGCGTCTCAGTTATGCAAACAGCACATAGCAATCCATTTACACCCTACAGGGAAACTGGGTTCCACTGGGTCTATTGAGTAATGTTAACCAGATGTTGTTTTCATTTTCACATTCCCTTTCAATCCCAAACCTGGAATAAGGTGTCCTTTCATCAGTCCTTCCACCTTGTCCAGGATGTTGTTTCTATCTGTATCTTACAGAGGAAGGAAACATGTCTAACCTCAACCCACTGGTGTATGCTAGGGCATCCTGTGTGATTTGTCCTTACTGTCTCCTAGGATAGTAATACACACACACACACACTTTGTTTCCTCTCTTTCTGCATGAAGCACACAGTTCTGGCCAGCAGGCCTCACACTGTTTTTTGGAGCTGTGGTGATGAGCAGGCCCAAAGGCCTGACACCCCCGGCATCTGGGTTCCCCATGTCTGCTCTACAGACACAGGTTTCACTGTGGAGGCTGGGTGTAAAGGCTGTTTTATCCTGGCCTATGGCTGTCATGGGAATCTGGCTTAAGAAGGTCTACCTTGGCTGGTCGTGGTGGCTCACGCCTGTAATCCCAACACTTTGGGAGGCTGAGGTGGGTGGATCGCTTGAGTTCAGGAGTTTGAGACCAGCCTGGCCAACATGGTGAAACCCCATCTCTACTAAAAATACAAAAATTAGCCGAGTGTGTTGGTACGCACCTGCAGTCCCAGCTACTCGGGAGGCTGAGGCAGGGAGAATTGCTTGAGCCTAAGAGGTAGAGGTTGCAGTGAGCCAAAACAACTGAAATGTGGTTCAATAAGTTAATGGCTATACAAACTAGGATACATTCATAGGTAGGAATCCTGCTTGGCAATAACAAAGAATATACCATTGGTAAACACAAAAAACCTGGATAAATTATGCTGAGTGAAAAAATAAAGCCAATCCCATAGAGTTACATATGGTATGTTTTCATTTATGTGATATTCCAGAAATGACAAAATTATGGAGAACAGATTAGTGGTTTTGAGGGCTTATAAGTGGATCACAAACCCAGGTGTACATTAGAATAACCTTTTCAAAAATATGCAATTTCTGTCCTTGAAGCCTAGGGAGTGGGATGCAGCCACATTAAGACTCATGATTAAGCACCTTATTGTGTTAATCATGATATAAAGAGCCTTGTATAACACAAAAGCCGAGATCGCGCCACTGCACTTTAGCCTGGGTGACAGAGTGGGATTCTGTCCGCTCCCGCCAAAAAAAAAGGAGAAGGTCTACCCTGCAAGAGGTGGAGAGAGAGCTAGTGGCTTGGATCTTTGGGGTGCACATGGGAATTGTGGGCCCACAGTGTCTGGTGAAAGAAGAGGAGGCAGGAGGCCTTTTTCTTCTCATATGGGGGTTGAGTGGTGGGGTGCTACTGCCAGTCATTCCAGAACACGTGTTGGGTTCTCAAGGCTCGGGGATGCAGATGTCCAGGTGTCCAATACCAGTTACCAGGCAGCAGAGAGTGATGGAGACTGTAAAGACAACAAGAAAAGAGGGAAATAGACATCACAGAGAAAAAAAACAAAAAACGCGACATCACAGAGAGGCTAAAATTACCACCAAACCACCACCTCCAGACTCCCTGTGAGGGAACAATTCTTGTTCTTATGGCTGAGCCAAAATTGCTTTGAGTTTCTGTGATTATGGTTGAAACATCCTAAATAATAAGTGTGGTTTTTTTTTTGTTTTTCGTTTGCTTTTGTCTTAACCATGGAAGTAAAACATTCTCATTCTTAAACATTTAAGAAAAATAGAAAACTAGAAAAAAGAATCACCTGTAAGCTTACAATTACTTGGCTGTCTGGGTTTTTAATCCTCATCTCTAATTCCATTTCTCAGGACCAAAGCAAGGAGCACACATTGAATTCAGTGTCTCCCCTCAGCCTTTCCTTTGATCCTTCAAATTTCAAATGAGAACAACTGTACCTTTAAGTATATGCAAAGCCTTAGCTTTAAAATCCTTCTTTCAATGAATGCCCTTCTGTAAGGTGCCATGCTCCTGCTGCTCTTGGCATTGGAAAGGCACCCAAGAACTGCTCTCAGGATGAATAGGAAGCATATTGGAATGCTGCTGATCTTTCTTAGGTGAGAAGCTAAAACCTGCTTATTTACACTTACAGAAAGTCACTTGTTTGCTTTCTTTCAGGCTCAAGTCACTTTGGAGGATTGGCATCCTGAGGCAGCCACATTCTAACAGTGAAATAATCTAGTCACAATGACAGACAAATCTTCAGAAACCTAAAATCAGCATGCACTAAGATTTGGTTCTGAATAGCAATTGATGAACAAGGTAAAGCTCTTTGAGTGACTGCTCTGGCCAAAGGGAGCAGCCTTGGTGCTGATAAGGGAGTAATGGCAAGTCAATGAGGGTGGTAATTAAGTGGTCTTTCAGAAAGTTTACATATTCACTGAATATATAAATTTTTAATATTATTTGAATTTTGAATATTTGAGTTTAAAAGGAGATAAATAACCTAGAGTGAAAAAATACATACATTGACTTTAAGACTTCTTTTAATGTCAACCATTTATAAACACAAGGCTAAAATAAGCCATGCAACCCTTTATTTTCAGGCACTATTATAAAAATGGGGCTGAGCTTGACAAAAGCTTGAAGGGTACTATTGTGAGGTTTTAAAAAATGTGTTTGTATGTGAGTTGTTGGATTTTTAAGTATGCAAATCTGTGCTCCATAAGGATGGATGGTACTTATTTTTTTAATGCCCCTATAGAGTATTGATGCAGTTAGAATGGAAAGAAGCACATTTGACCAGGATGCACCTATGTTAATAGTAGAATTTTCTTTATCTCTACATGATATTGGGGCAGTGGCAATCAAAGTTAAAAAATCAGTGTCTCACTCTCTTCAAAACAAATCGTCCTTGTGATCTAAGCAATTAGTTTATTACTTTAAGTAACATAGCTCTATTTATATTTATTTCTGTACATTCTAAGCAAAAAAAAAAGTATTCCTGTATATTATAACTGAGGAATTGTTTAAATTTAAGTAGCTACAATTGTCAATTATGCTACCTTTATGTGGTTATGTGAGTTTGGGGAGTGCAGCAGTCACCAAAGGCAAACTTATACAGAAGTAATAAATAACCCCTAAGTCACAATGGCCTAACATACACTGGAAAGGGCTGTCACCACATCTTGTAGGTGTCCCTGTAACTAATCCCAAGTCTGATGTTGATTATCAGGACACAAGAAGTGAACACATCAGTAACAATGGCCAGATATTTCAGAGTGCAGTCTCTTTCAAAAGTCATCTCCAGACTCTTCATATGAAACTGTAAGATTCTTGCAATGATGGGGAGGATGTCACTTTGGGGAGGAAGGATACAAATATGAATGCAAGGACAACGATATATAGAAATGAAATCTTCCTTACATTATATAGTTCAATTGACATTTGTAGTTCAGTCTTCATGATACCAGGTTGGCAGACATCCTGAGCCCTGCCCTGGGCCAGAGTACTAGAAAATCCAGAGTCCAGAAAGGTCCTGGGGTCTTATGAGTGGGGCTGCTGCTTCTTCCTTCTCATTTCACCGAGGTTCTTATTGCATTTTGATACTTCTCTTGGTATAGGGCAATACTTGTGAAACAAATATGTTGTATGAGGTGATAAACCACCATTGATCCAGGGTTTCTTCACCCAGATCAATTGTTTTAAACTATGGCTGGACTTTAGAATCCCACAGAAAACTTTGTCTATCTATCTATCTATCTATCTATCATATATCCTTTCTATCTATTGAATCTCTATTATTCTATGTATCATTCTATTATCTATATCTATCTATCTATCTGTCTGTCTATCTATCTATCTATCTGTCTATCTATCTATCTATCTATCTATCTATCTATCTATCTATCTATCTATCTATCTATCATCTCTGTCTCTCTTGATGCCTGTACCTCATGCCAGACCAATTGAATCAGTCTATCTAAGGGCTGTATTGGGTCTGTGTCTCCACTTTGTGATGGCTCCCCTGATTATTCTAATGTATAGACAGAGCCAGAGCCTCCAGGTTTTACGTGGCCTGAAGATTATACAATTTTAGAAACCCCCTTTAAGAAATATAATACAAAATTTACAAATAAAAATTAGGTACAAATGGTTGGATATAAAAATGTTCTAGGAATAAATGCTCGGTGCCACAAAGTGAAAACAACACTCAGGCAAAAGTTTTCTCAGCAAGGCAATTTACTTCTGCAGAAGTGTGCCACTCACGTCAGTCAAGATCACAAGAGCACAGGGAACAAAGGAGAGCAGCAAGCTTTTATCTCTGACGGTAGTCCCTACCTTTGTGTCACTCCCCAATGGGCTGGGGTTGGACTGCACAATCTGAGCTGACCCGATTGGCTACTTGCAAATATTTTTCTAAATAAGGAAGGGAAATGGGATGTGAGGTACAGTGGTAAAGCATGTGAGACATGCAGTTTTGGGGGAACAATGGGTGCAGGAAACCAAGGGAACAGATGTGAGTTATTGATTAGAGCGCCTGGGAAGGGGGTAGGCTGTTTTACAGTAACTAGGGGCAAGGGGGAACAGGAAATGAGTTTGAGAACAAAGAACAAGGATGTTAGCAGGCTAAATCTTTGAAGAGAAACTCAGAGAAATTCATTGTATCTTACAATTCCTCCCTTTTAATTTTCTTACAATTCTTTCTCTTCAAACTTTTTAAACATGTCTTGGCTTTGCCATTCAACTTGATCTTCCAAAAAGAAAAGCTTACTTGAATAAGCTGGAGGAGAACTAAGTGCTGGTTGTACAATCCTTTGTATTAGCCCATGGATGCATGGTATAACACAGCAGCCAACAAGAATGAGTCCACCTATTGCAATTGCAAAAGAAATAAGAACTGAGGCTATGATTCCTTCCCATTTACTGAACCACATTCCCAGCCATCCTGAAATAGGGTCATTTACTCCAGAATTTTTAGCTAATTCATTGGATAAAGCAGTAAGTCCTTGTAAGGCCTTTGTTATGCTCCCTTTGGGGGCAGTGTTGTTTGGGATGAAGGTACAACATTGGGTTTTAATCATAGCACAAACCTCACCTTTTTTGGCTCTAGAGTTATCCTGTTTTCCCAAGCCATTTGGCTAGTGGGTCTTAATTGGTTGGCTATTCCTTTGATAGCACCCCTGGTGTAATTAATATACCACTGCTGATTATAATAGATGTAATTTATCCAAGCTACATTTTTATTCATAGTTACCTGTGGAAATATGGATTCAAATCCTGCAGCTATTTGGTCTTGGACTTTGAACCTGTCAGGCACTCCTCATGAGACTCCAATGGCATCTATGTAAACTTGCAAGTCAAAAGACCCATAAGGGGCTTCTCTTATTTTTCGGTGTTGTGGTTTTTCTTTTTCTGGTTGATGAAATGCCAGGGTGAAAGGGATAGCCAACTGGACAAGAGCACAAGTGCCGCTCCTGTTACGTGGCAGAGTGTCCAGTAAGGGTCCACTGAAATACCACCATACATCCGCTTGAGGATGACTAAGGGCAGACTGATGGGTAAGCTCTTGGAAGGGCCTAAGCTCACTGCATCCCATTAAGCTTCCAAGGAATGCCAAGTTCCCCCCACATCGTGAGAGATATGAGGTGAAATTGACTTTGGGAGATGGAAGCTGAATGGCCCTCAGGGGCTGACCCACAGGGTGTTGGACTTCGGGATATAGCAGAGAGAGAGCTTGGCATGATTTGTTGCCCCAGGTTGTGGAATCCTGGAAAAGAGCTGCCATACAGCCCATGCCTGGTCGATTGAAGGACCATCCTAGTGGAAAGGGGACAATCTGGGCCTCTGGTCTGCCATGCACACAAGCTTAACAATTGTTTTTGTTCCAAGTGCGGATGGAATATTGCATCCATTCCAACCAGGCATTTATATCTTGATATCCTGTTTCAATTGCCAGAGTTTGTCTTAGATTCTTCACTTTTACAATATTTACCTTGGCATTGTTGTTGTGCAGGGTAGAAGGTTTAGAAGGAGAAGGAGGGTCAGTAAAACATATTTTAAAGAAGCCTATAGGGTCCTATTGATTGGCCTCTGCTCCTAAGACATAAAAGCATTCTAAAAGGGGTGCAGGGGTGGTGGAGGTAAGGGTGTTAATAGAGATAGTTACTGGGTTACAATGGTCAAGTTGACAATTAGAGGGGGTGGCTCCTTTGGTAAGGCAGAGGTAAGATTTTAGGTCAGTACAGCCTTCTGCGGAGGTCCCGCCGTGTTCACTGGTAGTCAGGATGACATCTTCCCATTGAGAACATATCTCCCAACTTGGGGTGCCTTGATACCCCCGCGATGAGCAAGGCGTGGGGTCAGTGGCTTCTCTGAAGGGGCAGAGGTATTTTTCTAAAGTAGAGACATACCTTTGCCATTGTTCATTCTCTTCACAAGGCATAACAAGGCAAGTATTAAAGGCAATGATTTGGGATGAGTCTGACTTAGTTTAATTGATAGCAAGATTAGTAATAGAATGAGGAAAGAAGAAAGGGGAATAGAAGAGATAAAAGAGAGTTAAACTTTTCTTAACCTTAGTTTGAGGGGTTTTTCGTTTGGATAATGGCCCACGACCTCGGAGATGGCAGTGCTTTTTTGACTCAGGTTTGATGGGCCCATCTTTTCTTGATGTTTGGACTGTAGTTTCAGTGTTTAGAAGCACTAGGCAGGCTCCTCAGGCTGGTGTTGATGTACTGAGAACTCTAGGGGTGATGCCTGTACTGGAAATTTTTGAGTTCTGAGGGAAGAGTAAGTGGAATATAAACCAAGTCTGTAGGAATGTTGGCAGTGGATTGTTTTGAGAGGTAGTTTGGATTCTTACTAGGGTAATAGGAAGACAGAAGACATTTGATCTATGGCAACCAAGTCTCTAGACTTGTTTGGCTAAGGATATAAATTCCTATGCATGTAAAAACTTTGACTATGTAATACTTGGGTTCTTTAATGGGTAATATTTTTTTGAGTTCCCTTTAGCTCCCACAGGAGAAACCTGTAACGTGTTCCGCTTATCTGATTTGCTAGGTTATTTTAAAAGACAGGCTTTTCTGGTGCTTGGGGACATAGACGATAGATACTTGGGTGATTAACTTCTCATGAACAAGGCTTTGACTTTTCCTATGAATCTAATCTGAAATTTTGTAAACGTATGAGCCACCATAACGGTGTATTTGGAATTAGTATAGATGGTTCTTTCCTGGTCCTGCAAGTACTTTAAAGCTTGACTAAGTGCAGACAGCTTATAAATTTGAATAGACTAATTACTAAACATTTTGACTTTAGTTTTTTAGGAACTTTTTAATTAATTACTGAATACCTGTTGCGTTCTTTTTTTCTCAATCATTTCTGAAGAGGGTTTTTCCTAAGTTTCGCCGGACGTTTGTAATTAGTTAAATCTAAACATCTGTGCTTTCTTTTTAGCTTTGGATCTCTCGTTAAGAAACTTGCTAGGTGAAGTGAATTATTAGTAGTTAATGTTAAACTATTTTTTGAATAGAATAGCCTTATATTTATACACATGTAATACTCTTCTGGTGGTACATTTTAATATAAGTGACCTTAAAGAATGAAAGTTCTTTTTTGGTGGATATTTTTACTTTTAACACTCACCTGACCATAATAAATGTTAGTGGATATACTGGCTGAAAGATTATCTACTACTTGCTCAGGAAACTTAGCTGCAGGGATGCCTAGCTGCATGGAGCCGCAGCTGAAACCCCCTATTACTTGGCCTTGGCAAAAGGAAGGCAGGTGTCCCGTAACGTAATTTGCTCAGGGCATAGGCTGCGGCCCGTCGATATGGTGCCGGGACCCTGGACCAGCCCGGGGGCAGGAGCATGGGCTTTGCCTGCCGTGGGGGCGCACTATGGGCGGGACGGCACTGACAACATGTTGCGGTGGATCCTTGATGTTGCTAGCCCGGCAAAAGCCACCTGGCGAATTAAGAGCTTGGAGCCCTTTTGGAGAGTGAGACTTAGGCTGGGCCTGAGGAGATGGGTTGAGGGTATTAGGTGGGGGACTAGTCGTATCAGATGGAAGATGGTCTAGGGGATCCTGTGTGCTGTTCTCTTTGCCACGATCCCCTGAGCCCCTTCCTTCACTGGCTCTACAGTAGGGGCAGGTGCATAAGGGAAAAGGGAGGACAGGTTTTTGCTTCCAACAAAGAGCGTAGTCCAGTTTTTCTTGAGAAATTGGGCTTTTATTATTTACATGTTGAATTAAAAGTTGACATAGTATATTCTCAGTCGACCCAAACTTTGGCTAGAAGATTGAGGGATTGAGGATAGGTCTTTGAGTCCAAATAGAACAGCAATATTTTATTATTTGTTGCTTTTTTTATGTTTAGTTCTTTTAGTATCTTCCCAACATTTTAGCATGAGACCTAGGGGGCTATCAGGTGGCATATTTTTGTTATTATTCTTATCTTTTTTATGAGACCTAGGGGACTATCAGGTGGTATATCTCTGTCACTATTCTTATCCTTTTTGCTTGTAATATTTCCCATATTGGGTGATGGCTAGGCGCAATCCCTCTTATTAGGAATTTCTTGCCTAGTGGGGGCTTGCTGTGGCTCAACCCACTAGGCAAGCCTATCTGGGGGATTTCTTGCCTATTTGGGGGGTCCCTTGTGGTTCAACCCCCTATATTAGGGGGTCTCCTTTATTTTTCACTGGAAGCTTTGCTAAGGCCCAATTCACCTACCCTTTAGCCCCACCTGCTGGAGACTCCTTGCATCCTTCTGCTTTGTCCGCTCTGGCCGCTTCCCTTGCAGGAATATTTTAGGTCCCTCTTAGCATTGATGGTGGGTCAATATAAACCCCTGATGAGACCCCTGAAGGGCCACCCTAAGCCGTATGAGGTGACCACGGAACCAAAGACTGGACTCACTCACTCTGCACAGCAGTAGTGCTTGTTACCATTCATGCACTTTCAACCACCAGAATGCCCCGAGCCCCCCACCCCCGACCACCAAGGAAGTACTTTGTTGCCCCTGCAACATTTCTTACCTTGGTCTGTGCACAGAGTTTAGCTGGTCGCCACGATACTGCAAGCCTCTCCTCCCCGTGTTGCTGAGAGTCCAAGTTTATTCATAACAACGGGTGGGTCTTGATCTCCCCTCCCTGAGGCCACCACAATGGGGCAGTGGGACACATCTCCCCTGGGTAGGGTGACTGAAGACCCCTTCTTGAAGGAGAATGGGGATCCCGGATGAGCCCCCAGAATTGCTGAATATAAAAATGTTCTAGGAATAAATGCTTGGTGCAGCAAAGTGAAACCAGCACTCAGGCAGAAGTTCTCTAAGCTAGGCAATTTACTTCTGCAGAAGGGTGCCACTCGTGTCAATCAAGATCACAAGAGCAGAAGGAACAAAGGAAAGCAGTGAGCTTTTACCTCTGATGGTAGTCCCTACCTTTGAGTCACTCCCCCATAGGCTGGGGTTGGACTGCACAATCTGAGCTGACCCAATTAGCTACTTGCAAATATTTTTCTAAATATGGAAGAGAAGGCAGATGTGAGGTACAGTGGTGAAGCATGTAAGAGGTGCAGTTTTGGGGGAACAATGGGTGCAGGTAACCAAGGGAACAGATGTGAGTTATTAATTAGAGCTGCTGGGAAGGGGGTAGGCTGTTTTACAGTAACAAAGGGCAAGGAAAGTTAAATTTAAGAACAAAAGATAAGGAGGTGGACAGGCTAAATCTTTAAAGAGAAACTTAGAGAAATTCATTATATCGTATAAAATATGAATAATTATTTAGCATATGAAAACGAATCACAACAGTTTACACATTTTAAAAAGCTGACAAATACCAAAAATATCACAAGATTTTAGGAAATGAACACAATATTGGTAATAATGAACTGCCTGGCACCCCTATTCTATACTATTGATAAGAAATATATGTTTTTGGATACTCCTTGATAACCTCTTTATTCGAATGATTTTAAAATATGATTTTACTATGATATAAAAAAGCCAAACATTTCTCTTTTTTATGATTGATATTTGTGGTGCCTAATGCCTGCAATGTAGCTGCAGTTTGTTGAACTGCTTCATGTTTTCTGGTAAAGTCTATTTCATGCAGTCCTCATCAAACTGGAAAATGGCACATGATGCAGGTATAGTTTTATATGCTGCAGGGTCAGTTATATTCCTGTAGGAGAGGATTTCCATTTTGATTAGATATCACTGAAGACTGAATCCTCCCCTTATGATATTACTTGCCTGATAGTTGGGAGAATTTTGCATAAATGAGAATATGACTCCAGGCACATCAAATCTTGTGTTGTTTCTTCTACCAAGTGTGTTGGTGCAGTGGGAGGGAAAGTATTTCTATCAATAGCTTAGTATTACACGGATGCAACTGCTAACCACGTAACCGTGACCCACTAATCCCCATTGAAATGCATCTTCGGCTCAACTTACCTTGAGCCAGATCCAAAAAATGTGCCTACAGCCACTCATCACCAGCCCACATAAGGGAAAGTATGATGATGTGGCAGCCATCTTAACGGATTGAAGTTCAAATATGTTACTTTTTTAAAATTTGCAAAATCATGTGACTATGTAAACACATTTGTGGAGCCATGCACAGGGGCTTGGAAGGGCTCCTGCAAGTGAGGCCCCTGAAGCTTGAGCTCCATTTGTTCAACAGTAAATCTAGCTCTATCTAGCAGATGGAGCCACTCGTGGAAGGAAGCCCCTCAAGGACATTTCTGCTCTGATCTCTTGTCTCTAGCTCCTCTATTCTAGAAATCCATCCATCTCTATTCCCTACCACACCAGCCACAAAGAGAAGATATTTTTTCAGTTCGAATAACCTCTCTACCTTCACGTGTGTAGACGAAAGACCTTAAATATTGCTGAGAACTCTCTTGTTTTTACTTCTTAATATACTCACTTAAGGATTTTGGAAAGACAGTTCAGTGTTGGGAGGCAATGAAAGCTTGAGATGCCTTGTAGTCTGATCCTGAAATGCATGGAAAGTGAATTCTGACAGCTTGTGTCCAAATCTCATCTTGGTCACAATAGCTGTGCAAACCTGAGTGACTTATTTAACATCTCTGTGCCTCAGTTTTATCTTCTGCAAAATAGAAATGATGATAATAGCATTGCTCTTGTCGACAAAAAGAGTCAAACTCTGTAAAATATTACAAGAAATTTATTCTGAGCCAAATATGAGTGACCATGGCTTGTGACACAGCCCTCAGGAGGGCCTGAGAACATGTGCCCAAGGTGGTTGGGGCACACTTGACTTTATACATTTTAGGGAGGCATGAGACATCAATCAAATACATTTAAGAAATACATTGGTTTGGTTCAGAAAGGCAGGACAACTCAAAGTGGGTGTGGGGGTGAGGGGGAGCTTCCAGGCTGTAGGTAAATTTGAACATTTTCTGGGAGAAAAAGACCTAGCTATGTTAATAGAGATTCCTTACAGATGCATATTTTACCACACAAAGGACAGCTTTTCAGGGCCATTTCAAGATATGGCAAAGAAACCTGTTTTGGGGCAAAATATCTTGATTTTCTTCCTTGTCTCATAGGTTATGCTGAGTCAGGTTGGAAAGTAAGTCATGATATGTAGGGTTAAATAAAACCCATCTGATGAGAATTTATGTTTTGTAGGACATGACTCCCCAGACCCCTTAGATAGGAATTTGGGCAAGATAAAAAAAAAATCAGAGCTTAGTCCTCACTCTTATAGGGTGGATGTGAGGATTAAATGAGTTAACAAATGTGGAAGGTTGAGAACAGCAAGGGGCATAAGGACAGCACTCCTTCAGTGTTAACTGATGAGACTGTTGCTGCTCAAGTCTTTTAGAAAACAGCCAAAGACTTCTAGGGTACTGTAACTCTCCTGAAGCAATGAGTAGACAGCCAACTTGTAATGTGAGAAGGTGAATAAAGGTTACTATCTCACACTATTTTTAACCATAAATAAGCAAAGTTAGCCTGAAGACATTCACCCTTAGATACGTATATTGTTATCTCTTAATAGCTATTATAATATAAAATGTTACAAATGTGGTCTGCTCCATATAAGCAAAGAAGGCAGAATTTGTCTTCTCAGTTATTTGGAGGTCTAATGAGAAGAGCATCTCTTTAAGAATTCTTTTGCTGTCATAATTTTATTTTTCTGGCAATGCTCAGGGTACTGCTAAAATGTTAAAAAAATATATAGATTTCCCTAAATGGCTTCTTCCTTTAAAAATGACAGATTGCTTTTATGCCCTCAGTGCATATCAGATATTGAAATAGAGAAAATAATTCTTGAGTAACATAATGAAAAAGGGCCCTGAAGTTTTTGCCTTCAGATATGTTGAGGGCTGGGGGTAGAAGTGAGCACGATGAAAATACAGAGGTGGGGGTCCCATTCAGATGCAGATATAAGATGTTCTCTCCTGATAGCATTCTTACTGTCCCTTCTTACATTCTTTACTCATTGCACGCTCTTTACCACAAATACTTTTGGTGCTTAGAGAAGAAATCACATCAATTGATAAAGTTCAAGAGAAGCCCTGAAGTTGGAGGGAGGAATTATAATGACTGAAGCTACTATACACTTTGGCTGATAGGATTTTGTGTGTAGATATGTCTTTATGACACGGGTAAATATCTGGGAGAAGAATTCTTGATCATATGATAAGTATATGTTTAACCTCATAATAAACGCTCATGGGTTCCCAAAGTGGCTATTACTTTTTGCCTTCCCACTAGAATTAGATGAAAGTTTCATTGTTCTACATCTTCTTCAGGACTTGGTGTTGTCTGTTTTGTTGTTGTGGTTGTTTGTTTGGAGCCATTCTAGCAGATATGTGATGCATCACATCATTTGCATTTTATTAATGAGTAATGATGTTGAATGCCTCTTCATATACTTACCTTCCATCCATGTTTCCGTGTTCAAATACTTTCACATTAATTACGAATGATGATGTTACATGAGTTCTTTATATATTATGGGTACTGGTTTATTATTAGAGAAGGACTTTACAAATTCAAAGTGTGGACTATCACCTCATTTTAGAACAGCTGGAAACCCCACATTCAAGCTCATGAGGAAGCTGATGGGCAGGGCACAAGGCCATAGACAGAGCTTCCTGGTAGTACTGAAATTTTGTTGGATGTGCATCATCAGAAACCTTGACTTGACCCAAGGTCACGAACATTTTCTCCAATACTGTTTCCAGAAGTCGCATAGTTATAGGCTTCACATTTAGGCCTTTAATCCGATTCAAGTTGATTTTTAATATGGTGTGAGGTATGGGTTGAGGTTAGTTTTTGTTTTCTCTCTCCTTTACTGTCATGTGTCACTTAATGATGGGATACATTCTGAGAACTGTATTATTTGGTGATTTCCTTATTGTGCAAACATAATGAAGTGAGCTGACACAAAGATGTACAAAGATGGTAGAGTTTAGTGTACACGTCTATACTGTATGATATGGCCTACTGCTCTTAGGCTATAAACCTGTACAGCATGCTATTGTACTAAATACTGCAGACAATTATAACACAATGGTAAGTATCTGTGTGTTTAAACATATCTAAACATAGGAAAATATAGTAAAAATTCCATAAAAAGGTAAAAAATGGCACATGTATATAGGGCATTTGCCATGAATGGAGCTTGCAGGAGTAGAAGTTGCTCTGGGTGAGTCAGTGAGTGAGTGTAAAAGACTAGAACATTACAGTACACTACTGTAGACTTCATAAACACTCCACACTTAGGCTGCACTGAATTTATTTAAAAATTTTTCTTCAATAATAAATTAACCTTAGCTTACTGTAACTTTTTCACTTCATATGTGTTTTTATTTTTTAAACTTTTTTGACTCTTCAGTAATAACAGCTTAAAACATGAACACATTGTAAAGCTATACAAAATATTTTATTTTTTATATCCTTATTCGATAATCTTTTTTCTTTTCTATTTTTCTATTTTATTTATGTATTTTTTTTTGTACAGACTAGGTCTTGCCATGTTGCCAGGCTGTTCTTGAACTCCTGGGCTCAATTGATCCTCCCACCTCTGCCTCCCAAAGTGCTGGGATTACAGGCATGAGCCACCGTTTGTGGGCTTTTTATACTTTTTGAACATTTTGTGAAAAATCAAGACATAAACACAGTCTACGTCTACACAGGGTCAGGATCATCCACATTACTGTCTATCCCTGCACACCTACCCCATGGGAAGGGCTTCACAGACAGTAACACACACGGAGCTGTCATTTCCCAGGATAACAATGCCTTCCTCTGGATACCTCCCCTAAGGATCTGTCCCAGGCTGTTTCACAGTTAACTTTTTTTTTTTAAATAAGTGGAAGGAGTATACTCTAAAATAATGATTAAACATATAGTATTGTAAATACATAAACCAGTAGCATGGTCATTTATTATCATTATCAAGTTGTATGTACTGTTCCTAATTGTGTGTGCTATATTCTATATGACCTATCAGCACAGTAGGCTTGTTTACACCAGCATCACTATAAACAGTTGAATAATGTGCTGTGCCATGATGTTACCAAGGATATGTCATCACTAGGTGATGGGAATTTTCAACTCCATTATAATCTTATGGGACCACCATTGTATATGCAGTCAATTATCGACTGATGTCCTTATGTGGCACATGACTGTATATATGTGAAATTATTCCAGCATTATTTATTGAAACGCTGTAGTTTTCCAAGTGAATTACTTCGGCATCTTTCTCAAAAATCAATCGGCCACAAATGGATGGGTTACTCATGGACTCTTTGTTCTGTTACAGTGATCTACATTTCTATCCTTATGTCAATACAACACTGTCTTAATGTAGCAGTATAGTAAGTCTTGAAATAGGGTGGTGACAGCACATTGTTATTTATCAAAATTGTGTTGGCCAATATAAACCTTTTGCTTTTTTTAAAGATAAATGTTGAGTGCAAAACTTGCTAATTTAAACAAATAGCTGAGTAGAATTTTGATTTGAGATATCTTTAACTCTATAGAGCAATTTGGAGAGAGATTATTTCTAAAAATATTGAATCGGAGGTATAGTATCTTGAGTATGGTAAGCTCTATTTATTTAGATCTTCTCTGATTTCTCTGGTCAATATTTTATAGTATTTAGCATATTAATCTTGTATATACATTTGTTAAATTTATAACTTCATATACCTTCCAAAATTTTATGCTAATGTACATGTTATTAAAATAATATCCAACCACTAATTGCAGATTATATGTATTGATTTTGCATCATGTGAACTTACTAAATTTATTTGTTCTATTGGTATTTTTGAATGTTCTTTGGAAATCTATGTAGACAGTCATGTAATCTACACAAAAAGACAATTTTAAATTATTTTTTAATAACTCGTATTACTTTAATATGATTTTCTGGCCTTACTGCACTTTCTAAGACCTTCAACACAATGTTTCATAAAAGTGATGACATTGGGTACTTTTGTTTTATCCCAGTATTTTGCAGGGAAAAGTTTCAGTTTTGAACAGGGAGTATAGTATTAGCTATAGGTTTGATGAAGATGTTCTTTAATCAGGTTGGAGAAATTCTGTTCTATTCTTCATTTGCTGAGAATTTTTATCGTGATGAATCTTGACTGTCGTCACATCATTCTGTTTGCATCTATTGAAATTACCATGTTTTGTTTTCCTGTTTTTAATATGGTAAAATATACATATCTATATTGTATTTCTTAATGTTAAATTGTTACATTCCTGCAATAAACCTTACTTGATAAGAACATACTATAATTTTTATGTACTTCTATTTTCAATTTGCTTATATTTTATTAATTATTTTTGGACCTATGCTTATGAGATACACTGACCTGTAGAATCCTTTCCTTGTAATGTTCCACTGGCTGTTTGGTTTGGTTTGGGTGTCTCACAAAATTAACTGTCATGTGTTGAGCCTTTTTAAATTCTTTTCTGGATGAAGTTATCTATATTTGATATTATTTAGTCATCAAATATTTGGTTGAATTCTCCAGTGAAGTCATCTGATTTGGAGTTCTGTTTCTGCTAAGGCTCTTTACTACTAATTCAATTTCATTAATAGATATAGGATATTTGGGTTGTCTGTTCCTTCTTGAGTGAACTTTAATAGCTTTGATGTTTCAAGCAATTTGTGCATTTCGCATAGCTCATGAAATATATTGGCATAAAGTTGTTATAATGTTACTTTATTATCTTCCCAATGGCTGCAGGGCTGTAGCAATTGTTCTGCTTTCGTTCCTTATATTGATATTATGCATCTTCTTCATCATCCTGAGGCAAGATGGGCTAAATCTGTGTATTATAACCATAGAAGCAGGGCGGGTAGGGGGGAAGCTTATTGTTTCCCAGAAGCAGATGAGCTTTGCTTCCATCCCTCTCCCAGAAGAAATGACTTTTTTCTTGAGCCCTAGAGGTGAGAGGAGTTGCTGCCTCCCTCCCAGCAGAAGAGGTTATTGCTTAATAGGAGAGAAGGGGCCAGGCAGGGACCTGCAAGTCCCACACTAAGGGCACACAATCACAGCCTGCACATCGGCACTACAGAAAGCTGTCTATGGTCTTGTGCTGTGCTCCTTATGGGTAAGCATTCCCTGTAGTCCCGCAGTAAGGAGCTTCTGAGTGACCACAAACTTCTCTTGCATTTGGAGCTTCCAGTTGTTTTGAAATGGGTGATAGGTCTCATTTGGAATATGTAAAATTTTTACCTGATTTGTATCTGTTTTTATGAAAGCCACTTATTCTTCCATGCTTTGCCAAAGATGAAAGAGTTTATTATGCTTGTTGTTGTGTTTAATCTTTCGTTTCCTAGGAGTGTCCTATCTAGGAGTGCTACAGCCAGATCCTTCCAGCTCCCAATGGCCAATTATGCAAATCTCTTCCTAACTCTAATCTCATTGACCACGTTACTAGCTTGAAATTGGCCACAGTGGGAATATTTATCCCATGGAAATTTGCAAAGACTAAATATCAGGGCTGTTCTCCATCAGGAAGGGGTTAGCTAAACATTTTCCGCCACACCAGTGGGACTGTTGCCCTTCGGAATTTACTCAGTTTCCTTATGAATTCAACTTTATGAGCTCTCTGCTGTTCTCAGAGAAAATTATGACTTTGTAAATTGCCATCTTATTCTCATTAGTAGGAGAATTGGCAATTCTTCAGCTTTCTACAGCAAAAGCACATTGGATTTTCTATATTCAGGTGCAGTTTTAAGAAACATTGTTTCCCTACTTATTCATTAAATACACATATAAATGAATATTTAATAAAACAAAATAGCTCAGTACATTTCAGTTTTTAAAAAATTAAAAATTTCTTCATTCACTGTGTTTATTATGTCTTTCCTGTTTCCATATATTTTCCCTTCAGTTTTCAGAATTTTCCCAAATAAGGTGAACTTATGTCTTAAAGGAGCCCAAGTTATTTTTATTTGCAAATAAAGATCCTAAATTGAGCAAGCATGGTATAATGTTAAGCATTTAGTTTAACATGGACATTACTAAAAATCCACAACTGGCACCATTATTATCTTTGTGGGTAAAACCTGGGTACTTCTGATTGGGGAAATAATAGATTAGATTATTTCTAAAGTTTCTCCAGATAGGCAGATTTATAAAGAAACATAAAGTGTTTTTGGTAGTGATATTTTCTCCAGAAATCTCTGACCCAGTGAGTCCCTTCCAAGACTTTTGCTGTGATTTGGGGGATGGGTTTAGTGTTTGCACATTAACCTACTTTGGTCTTGATTGCTGGTCATCTTGGTCTTTGCCTGTCTCCCTTTGTATGATGCTGTGATTCAAGTTTAATAACTATTCTCTTTAACTCATTTTCTATGTAGCATGTATTGAGACAATCCTAGACACACAAAGAGTTACCATCTCCTTCCCTTCCCCTCACTGATTTGATACTTTAAATTGCTCATCCTTCACCTCATACCCATCAAAATGGCTACTAACCAAAAAAAAAAAAAAAAAAGCAAAACAGATAAACAAAACCAAAACATAAAACAGAAAATCAAAACTGTTGTCAAGGATGTGGGGAAAATGGAACCATTGTGCACTTTTGATGAGAATTTCAAATGGTGCGGTTACTATAATGATTCCTAAAAAAATTAACAATAGAATTATATATGACCTAGCAATACCATTTGTGTATATATTTTAACCAATTGAAAGCAGAGTCACAAAGAGATATTTGTAAACCCATATTCATAGCAGCATTTTTTTCAATAGCAAAGAAGTGGAAGCAACCTAATCCCCATGAATTAAGGGATAAATGAAATGTGGTTCATCCATTCAATAGAACATTATTTAGTCTTTAAAATAGACGGAAACTCTAAAACATACTGCAAAATGGCTGAACCTTGAAGACATTGTGCTAAGTGAAAGAAGCTAGAACAAAATTATAAATATTGGCTGGGTGCAGTGGCTCACACCTGTAATCCCAGCACTTTGGGAGGCCGAGGCGGGCAGATCACGAGGTCAGGGGTTCGAGACCAGCCTGGCCAACATGGTGAAACCCTGTCTCTACTAAAGATACAAAAAATTAGCCAGGTGTGATGGTGCATGCCTGTAATCCCAACTACTCAGGAGGCTGAGACAGGAGACTCATTTGAACCCGGGAAGCGGATGTTTCAGTGAGCCAAGATTGCACTACTGCACTCCAGCCTGGGTGACAGACCGAAACTCCATCTCAATAAAAAAAAAAAGTATAAATATTGTACCATTCCACTTACATAAGGTGCCAAGTGTAATCAAATTTGTAGTCTCAGAAAGTAGAATGATGGGTGTCAGTGCCTGAGGTAAGGGGAGGAGGAGTGGGGAGTTGTTTTTTAATGGGTAGAGCTCTTGTTTTGCAATATGAAAACCTTCTGGAGATTGGTTGCACAATGATGTGAATGTATTTAGCACTACTGACCTATACACTTAAAAATGGTTAAGATAGTTACCACAGGCTGAGGAGGGTAGGGAGGAAAGGGGAACGGGGATGGGTTTGTCATAGGGACAAAGTCACAGTTGGACAGCAAGAAAGGGTTTTGTTGCTCAATCACACAGTAGGGTGACTACAGCAAATAGTACTGTATTATATATTTCAAGATAGCTAGATGAGGAGATTTTGAACGTCATAACCACAAAGAAATGACAAATGTTTAAAATGAGGGACATGGTAATTACCGTGATTTGATCGTTATGCTATTTATACATGTCATGAAACATCACATTGTACACCATAATTATGTACAATTATGGGTCAATTACAAGTAAAAACATTAGCAAAACAAAAGAAACGTGCACAGAAAAAAAAAAAAAGCTTTATATGATGTGTATTTTACCACAAGTTAGAAAGTAAATAAAACTTTAAAGTGTACCTCGTGATCAGCCACAAAAGTCCCTGGAGCATTTTATGTTCTCCAGAATGTCTGAACATCAAAGTCAGAAACGGAGGGGTTAGGGGTGGGGAAGGGAATAAATAACATGAAAACAATGACTAGTGAGTACTGAGTTCTCCTTTACCTTAAAATTTCTAACTGTGACTGTAAAATTCGTCTGTTGAATGAGTGAGTGGAGTGAACACAAAACGGCTCACAAGATCTATATCACATTAATGTATGTTGCATCACTTTTCTATTGTTGGTATAGATAGAAATTTCACAGCTTCAAACTACACAGATATATTATGGACAGTTCTGAAGGCCAGAAATCTGGATCCAGGGTAGTTCGGTTGGTTCTTCTGCTTAGAGCCTTGCAAGGCCGAAATCAAGGTGTCTGCTGGGTTGCATTTCTGCCTGGAGGCTCTATGGGGAAATCAATTTCATTGCTCATTAGATTATGGGAACAATTAATCTGCTTGCGGCTGTAGGAATGACGTCCCTTGCTGGCTGTTGCCTGAGAGCTGTTTTCCACTTCTCGAGATGCCCACATACCTTAGCTTATAGGCGCTTTTCTCCATCTTCAAAGCCAGTAAGAGCAAATGGAGCTACTCCCTTCTCCTGCTTCCAATCTCTCCCCTCTCTTCTGTTGTGGCATTTCTCTTTGACTATTTCCCCTTCCTCTTCTACTTTTAAGGGCCCATATAGTTACGCTGGACCAACCAGATAATCCAGGGTAATGTCTCTATTTAAGGTCTGTAACCTTAATTCCATCTGCAAAGGATTTTCTGATATGTAACACAACATATTCACAATTTGGGGGTATTTGTGTATGAGCATCTTTGGGGGGCTCTGGAACACATTCTCCAAAATTAATCTGTCTCCATACCTGACTCACAGGAGTGCAATGTATAAACACATACACACAATCTCACACACTTGGGATCTTACTCTATATAAAATTTAATATCATGCTTTTAAAAAATAGCCTATCGTAAACATTTCCATATAAATTTTAAAAACATTTTAATGACTAAACAATATTGATTATTTTAGTCATTTTAATGACTAAACAAAATTGATTGATTATTCTATCCTAATGATGATACACTTTAAAATTGTAATCAGTATTTTCCTAACATGATTAATAAGCAAAGACAGCTGTATACAAAAACCTTTGACTCCAACTTGTATTTCCTTAAAGTAAAATTCTATCAGCAAAATTATTAAGTCAAATAATTTTATAACATGGCAGAAGGTGTTGAATAATTTTTCTAAAATAGCATGCTGATTTTTAAAGGGAATATAACTGTCCATCTCACCTCATCTTCACAGCATTGAGAATTAAGTATCTGTCCACCTAATAAGATAAACATATCTCACTATTTTATTAATATATATTTCATTACTAGGTGTACAGATGATGATGATGATTATTATTATTATTTTGAGATGAAGTCTCACTCTGTTGCCCAGGTTGGAGTACAGTGGCTTGGTCTTGGCTCACCACAACCTCCGCCTCCTGGGTTCAAGCCATTCTCCTGCCTCAGCCCCCCGCGTAGCTGGGATTATAGGTGCCCGCCAACACACCCAGCTAAGTTTTGTTTCACCAGGTTGGCCAGGCTTGTCTCAAACTCCTGACCTCGTGATCCGCCCTCAGCCTGCTGGGATTACTGGAGTGAGCCACCGCACCTGGCCTACAGATAATATTTTATATGTTCACTGACCATTTGAGTTCTGTTTTCTGCTCTTGTGCGCTCTCACTACCTTCCTCATTCTTTTGATTAGTAAGAGAAGAGATGGTTGATTGTGAGCATGCTTTCTCATGGCCTCTCCTCTTGGCCTTTGCTCTTCCTTTGGTTGCATTTCTGTCTTTATGTGCCATCTTTCTTTTTTACCTCACTGTACAAATACACTCAAGCCCCCATCCACACCAAAAATGTTCTCTTGATTTTGTCAATGTCATTCCTCTCTTAAGCCCTCTACTCTTGAACTTCCAATGACAAATACATTTACTAAAAAGTGCACAGGTGTTAGGCACTGTGTTAAGTGTTTTTACATGGCTAATCTCATGTCATATCCTCTTCAAATCCATGAGACAGGATTTCTTAATTATCCCATTTCATAGATGAGAAAACTTACCCACCACTGGGTTGAGGGCAGGTGTCAGATGGCCTAAATCAAGTATCTCTCTGCTGGGGCCAGTCCCAGTGTAGAGGCCAAGCCTTGTCCTCTAGCTCTCCATAGTGTGCCTGGGCTAATGTCAGTCACCCGGGAGCATGATGTCGGTTCTTTTCTTTATCTGGTCGGTAAACACGAGGACTTTGGGAGTTACCGCAGCCCCTCTGCCTAGGACCTATGTGCATCTATCTCTACTCAACTCTTTGATGCCAAGAAGGCAGAAGGAACTCAACGGTAGGCTGCTTCTACTTTCAGATTCCCAAGCTTTTGCGAGGACTCATCACCTAACCACCATCAGCTTACAGTACTGCATAGCCCTGCTTGCTTTTCTCATCAGCTCTCTCTTATCTGCCCTAAAGCATGTGGAATCCTTATTCCGGGTGAACAGGAGAAACTCTCACCAGTAACATTGTTTTCTTTGCCTGCTGTTTAGATCAGAACCTAAAATCTTAAATTCAAGGGAACCAAAACCTTGTAACTGAAAAACATTTATTTTTCCTCTTGAAAGCATTAGTTTTGTATTAACTTTCAATTCTATTCTGAATCTCAAAACCTGGCCATAGACTGGTTTGTTTCTTATGAGCATTTTTTTCTTTACGTGTTGTCATTTGGAAAAGAAGCCAGAAATGGCTCAGCTGCTTAGTTGTGTGTAAAAGTACAAGGAAATTTGGGGGAAAATACATCATGCGTTGTTTATTATCTCATACCATCCCAATATAGGCGTGCTTCTGTGGCTGCAGGACCGTAAACTTTTGGGAAGCAGCCAGTTCCAACCACAATATTCCACAAACCCAAACGCACTGCTCTTAGTCTGTGTGGGGCTTGGTTGATTTCAATGGGCCTTCCCCCGGGCAGGAGATGCTGTGGTTCTTAGAGGAATCATCCTATATAGACAAAACCAGGATCACTCTCAGAGAGAAGACATGTAATTAAACAAGCCTCTTCCTTCCCTGGCGTGTGTAATATTCATTTAAATATTTACTTTGAGCAAATACATTTTAATGAATTTTGCATTAAAATTAAATCAACTCATTAAAACACATTTAAGAGATCAGAAATGTAAAATCAGTGCTGAGAGCAACTTGTTAATTTCTTTGTCTGACTGACTTGAACCTAGGGGAAAATGGTGCATGGGAGTGTAGTGTTCCCTTTCCCTAGAACAGACAGCCCTTTACAGTTGCACAAGGCACGTTCACATCCATTAACTTGGGGAACAAAGCAGGGGTGCTCAGCTCCATTATTAAGGTGGCCGAGTAAGACTCAGAGATTTTAACAACTGTTGGGACATTCAGCCAGCAAGTAGCAGAAAGCAGAGGTGAAGACAGAAGGGATCCAGTCCAGCCTCACTGCCCCAACAAAGTGGGAGACTCACTTAGTGCCATGGTCAATCTCCCTTTGCCAAACATTTCCTACTTGGTTTATTTCCTGCCCCTTTCAGCTCTGTTCTGAGCTAGGAAAGGTTGCCCCCTCCCAGGATATCCTTATCTTCTGACTTCCAATTGGAATTAATCAATGAACGGCACCAACCAGATCCAGGAGGGCAGGAGGAGAGAGAGAGCAGGGTATTTCTTCCCTGTCCCTTCTGTGGTTTGGTGCCAAGTCTCTGACCATCTGCTGCTGCAGGATTCCAGCTTTCAGAGTGTCCCTCCTCTGGGGCTCCAGCCCTGGCATCTGATGACCCTGATCTTTCCTTTCGCTCTTCAGACCTAGAGGCCATAACAGCATCCTCCTGTCCCCAACCTCTGGAAGGTTTTCCGCTTCCGGTGTCTTCCCTTACCCCTGCTCACATCTGTGTAAATAGTCCTTTCATGGAAGTACCCCTGGTTGGACCATCTGGGTAGATGCTGTTTCCTACTGGCCACCGAGATAGGTCTGGCTGCTGACCACCAGGTGGTCACCAGGCAGCAAAGAATCTGGGGAATCAGCCAAGGCATCTCTTCTTCAGCTTAGCTTGGTGCAGAGACCTCCAGGGGGCAGTTAAGAGGCTGGGTGGGGGTTGGGGGGATGGCTGGACTAGTGCAGCCCCTCCTTTTCTGGATTATGCAGCCATTCTGTGGGGTGCCAGGGATGTTTTGCGGGCCTCCTGCTCCCCCCAAGATTAACACAAAGTCAGTATCGAAGTGCAAATTGTTAAAACTTTTAGATTTAAGAATCCTTTTGAAATTTTTAAATTATTAAAATATTTCTCTTTTCTGTTATTTATATTTCTCTTTTCTGTTATTTAGATATTATGAGTTCTTAGGATTTAAAATTATACACTAAAAAAGGAAGCATGTCTATTAATCTTATTCCCAGATAGACATAATATTTGCAGTTGGCGTATGTTTCTTTAGAGTTTCTTGAGGGTACACACAGGTGTGTGTGTGGTGGAGTTGGGGGGAAAATATACTCATATTTTTAACATAAAAATCAAATCACTCTTCACGTATTTTTCTGTAATTTGCTTTTAATCAGTTATCAGTCTTTTTGACAATTTTTTTTTTTGAGATGGAGTCTCACTCTGTCACTCAGGCTGGAGTGCAGTGGCATGATTTGGACTCATTATAACCTCGGCCTCCTGGGTTCAAGCGATTCTCTTGCCTCAGCCTCCTGAGTAGCTGGAATACAGGAGTCTGCCACCATACCTGGCTAATCTTTTGTATTTTTTTAGTAGAAAAGGGTTTCACTGCGTTGGCCAGACTGGCCTTGAACTCCTGACCTTGTGATGTACCCGCCTCGGCCTCCCAAAGTGCTGGGATTACGGGCGTGAGCCACTGCACCTGGCCTTGGACAACAACTTTTTATACTAGAGTATGTAAAATACCTCTTTGAAAGACTGCATTGAATCCTATTTAAGAGACATCACATAGTTCATTTAACTCATTTTCTGAAAACAGATATTTGCGCAATTCCAGCATGTTTTTTCTCCATTACCAATGAAGAAAAATACAGTTTTATAATAAACACGCATATACACTCATATGTATGTATATGCATCTATATCTTTTTAGACTTTTGTGCAAATATTTCTGTGGGATACGTTTCTGGAAGTATAATTTTGGGGTCAAAGAATGTAACGTTTTTATTTTTAAGCAATCATACCATTTTGGCCTTCAAATAACTATAATTACTCATAGTCCCATCAGCACCCTAGGGAAAGGCCTTCTTTCTCAACCATTTAATGACACTAAATAATTTCATCTGTTCCATTCTGATAAAAATAAAGTTGTATTTTGATCAAATGTGCATTTCTATAATTATTAATGAGGCTGAGTATTCATATCCTTGATATTTTATGTAAATTATCTAGGTCATTACTTTTGTATTTATTTGTTTAACGGTATTGTGTTTTTTGGATGTGAATATTAGCTCTTCATTTTATGCTTTGCCACTGTATTCTCAGCTTGATTTCTGTTTATGAATTACATTTTGATTTTCAAGTTGTTTTTGCCATATAAAGGTTTTGTATTTTATAGAGTCAGGTCTTCTTATTTTTTTTTTTCTTTTTTCGAGACAGAGTCTCGCTCTGTTGCCAGGCTGGAGTGCAGTGGCATGATCTCTGCTCACTGCAACCTCCGCCTCCTGGGTTCAAGTGATTTTTGTGCCTCAGCCTCCTGAGTAGCTGGGACTACAGGCGTGCGCCATCACGCCCAGCTCTTTTTTGTATTTTCAGTAGAGATAGGATTTCACCATGTTGGCCAGGATGGTCTCCATCTCCTGACCTCATGATCTGCCCGCCTCGGCCTCCCAAAGTGCTGGGATTACAGGCGTGAGCCACCGCGCCCGGCCTATAGTCAGGTCTTCTAATGTTTTACTTAGTGGCCTCTAGATGATGTGTCCTATTTAAAAAGACCTTGTCAACTTCAAGTTTCTTTGTTTAACTGTTTCATGCATAGTTTACAATTTTTTGATCTCAGTTTGATTTTGGGGGAAAGAAGACAATAACAAGCAGCTTCTTAAAATCCCTCTTCCAAATATATAGTTGCTACCTGAAGGAAAATTTGCTCATACCCTCTGCTGGTCCAGTCCCTCGAGAGGAAAAGCCAATGCCCCTCATCCCCACCCTACCCGACCCCGTGGTCCCCAGTTACCTCTCTGACATCAGCCCCAGGACTGACCCCGCACTCCCTGCCCAGACCCACTGGGCTCCCAGCTGTTCCTCTCCAAACTTGCCACTTGCTTTTCCTAGAGAGCTCTTCCCCAAGACAGGGACACTGATCACTCCGTAACTTGTGGCATCCACTCAAAGCTCATTTCTTAGTGAGGCTTTCACTGAGATGCCTATTTAAAAGGGAATTCCTTTTCCTCGACTGGAGCCCCTATTCCCCTCCCTGCCTCCTGTGTCCTCTCTAGCACTTGCTGCTTGCTGACATGCCATGGACTTTATAATTTATCTTATTCACTTTCTGTCCCCGCCAGCCTCTTTGGCCATGGGTGGGATGATCCCCTTCTTTCTCCCAGAAGCTAGAATCAGGATTCAGAGTCAGCCAGCTGGCCTCTGCTCTTACAGTAACTGAAAGATGTGTAGTCAGGGAGCACCTGTGATCCTGATGCCTCCACTCCATGTCCAGTAAGGCAGCAAAGGCCAGGGCCCAGAGCCAGCTGAGTGCCTGCCCAGTGTCTTTCTCGAACAGTCCCTTTAGCTCAAGCCCCCTTGACATGGCTTCCGTGACTCAACCCAAGAGATCTTTTTGACCAATACAGGAATTCTCATGAAAAATGCTAGTCAATCCTCCCAATTAACATGTCTGGAAGGCCAGTGTAATCCTTGTCTGTTCATAAACTAAGTACAACTGGTTCCTTTCACTTTCAGCACAGACAGCTCTTCTGCAGGACTCTGTTTCCAAACTTTCCCCTTCAGTTGGAAAAATCTGAGGCAAGCCTTTCATGAGACACCCTCACCTGGGTGATTACATAATTTCTCAGGGAAAACCATCAGAATTTCTCCAAAACTCTCAATTCCAATGTGCAACTTCACAAACCAGAAGAATACAAGAAAGCCCCAAGGATCTCAGAGAATGGAGGCAGGGCAGAGCAGTGAGGCCAAGCACAGGCACAGGGCATCTTCTTACCCAGCCCCATGGGTGGGAGGTGGCTGAAGTCTCCAGGGCAGGCACAGGGCATCTTTTTACCCAGCCCCATGGGTGGGAGGTGGCTGAGGTCTCCAGGGCAGGCACAGGGCATCTTTTTACCCAGCCTTATGGGTGAGGAGGTGGCTGAGGTCTTTAGGATGGGCACAGGGCATCTTCTTACCCAATCCCATGAGTGGGGAGGTGGCTGAGGTCTCTAGGTCTTCCCACTTCATGACATGGGATCACTGCTTATGTTGCTGTGGCCAGGTAAACTACTGATGGATGTGGTTTTCACGGGGCGCTTCCTTTGATATCCTCTGCTCTAGAACATGGCCTTTGGGGCTGCAGAGTGCAATTGAACCATATTCATAGAAATCCTTGACAATGTCACTGTTTTAACAGAAATACTGTTTACTTTGCAAACCATGCAATGACCAAGTTAATGAAGGAGGTCATTTGAAGAATTTGATTCAATTCCCTGATTAGCTCAGACGTGAGCATCATTGAACAAATGAAAACCATGCCAAACAAAAGATCACACACCAACTACTTTTTTCTTCTTTTGTCTTCAGAAGTATGCCTATCCAGCAACTGCTCTTTAAATTTAAAAATAGGGGAAATTATCAAAATTTTTTGATGAATCAGTCACACTATAACTTATACCACTTGGTGAACAGTTTTGGAATACACATACTTTTTAAAAAATAATAAATACTAGAGTATAAACTTCAAATTTCTTATTTATATATTCATTTATATGTTAATTTATGTTACTATATTGACTTTTTAAATATTGCAAACTAAGCAGTGACAAGATCAATGGGGCTACCAAGATTTAGACCAAAGGTTCCCAATTTTTGTTGTATCAGAATTACCTGGAGAATTTATTAAAGCAGATTACTGTGCCCCTGCCCCAGAGTTTCTGATATAGTAGAACTGAGGTGGGAACTGATAATTTACATTTCTAACAGTTTCCTTCCCAGTTGATGCTGATGCTGATGGGTCTGAGGACTACACTTTGAGAATTATATTCTTAGAATGATCAGGATGTAACTGAGTCAATTAGGGGATGTAAGGCTTACATAAAATTGGTGGGGTTTAGCCTAATAAGCATGAGGGAAGACAGGAGTTCGGGGAGAGAAGGGTGTTAAGGGTCCCTTTCCTGAGAGTCTGTCCACTGGAATCCTGGGATTGTTATTCCAGCCCCTGGCTTGATTCCTCCTGTTTCAGATGATGCAGTCAGCAGCGTGTTCCAAGGTCTCTTCTCTACCCAGCACCAGCAGCATCTTTACAAATATGCAGGTGATCATTTGGGGACGTTTCAGGTAGTTGAGATTGCCCATACATAAACTAAACAGCATTTCCATATGTTGTGCTTTTTGGGTTTCTCTATTTTTTAAAGCTCCTTTATGTATCCTGCACTCATCACTATGATGAAACAGACTTAAAAGAAAGGTTTAGATGATGGGAACAATTCTAGAGCTAACAGAAGGCTGGGTTTGGCTTCTTCATCCCCAAACACGTGCTCTCTCTCACACACACACGTACACACCCATAAACACTCATGCACCATGCACACATGCACACATACTCACAAACACATGCACACACACAAGCATGCACAATCTCGTGCACATGCACACACATGCACACTCACACACTGACACACACATGCACACATATAAGCACAGGCTGACTCCACAAATGGAAATGAACAGCCTTTGCCAGAATGAGTGCCGAGTAGGCAAAAACCAACAGATTTTTGCAGCCAGCTCTATTTTTGTCCTTTTTACAGACTTTTCTTTCTCCTGGATGTGTGGAATATGAAGCTGCTAAATTACTCTAAATTGGACATTGGGCTGTTAATGGAGTTTGATTATTTGTGAGTCAATTCCACTCTGCCTTCCTTTGGGTGTCTCCATTAGAAGAGCAGAAGAAGAAATTCCAATATCCAAAGAGAAGGTTAAGGACAGCAGCAAAGCCCATGAATGACAGATAAGAATGACCTTCCATCTCCACCATCAACTCTGGTCCATTCGGGGCTGTTCTCCCTCTGGCCATCATCTCCTGGCTCCAAGCCACCCTCTACCCTCACCTGCATAGAGCCAGGACTGTGAAGAACAGATTTGTCTACTGCTAACTCCAGGTTCTGCCAATAGCAGGGACTGGAGGAAGACCAGAAAACGGAGGGCAAAGGAACTCACACTTTCTTGTGTTGCTTTCTGTTCTGCCAGCAAGACCCTAGCGATGGCTGTTCATCCTATGAGCAGCTGTTGGTTCCAGTTTGCTTTTTTTTCTTTTTTCGTTCTTACAGCTTTATTAAGGTACCATTGATATGAAAAAAATGCATGTATATTATATGTCCATTTTTATTATTGTGGACACACACAGGCACCCATAATAGCATGAACACAATCGAGGTAATAAACATATCCATCACCTATAAAGGTTTCCTGTGTCCCTTTGCTCTGCTCTTTATTGTTTTATAAAAATACTTATCATGAGGTCTACCCTCTTAACAAGTTTTTATCTGTGCAACACTGTGTTGCTAACTATGGGTACTACCTTGTACAGCAGATTTCTACAATTCATTATTCACAATAACCAAGATAGGGAAAACCCGGGTGTTCTTTTGTTCATTTTTGTCTTTGTTCATTTTTCTTCTCACATAATCAGAACCAACCTCAACTCTCCTCCTCAGAGATACCAGCAGCAGACAGCCAGAATTTCCCTGCCCCAAGAGGAGTCTGGGTTTCAATCTGTGTGACTCTTCCTCCATATTTCCAGATTCTGATAAACCCATCCTCTTCCATTTGTTTTTCCCTGGGCCTAGGTGTATTAGTCAGTTCTTGCACTGCAATAAACACCTGAGACTGGGTAATATATAAAGAAAAAAAGACTTAACAGGCTCATGGTTCTGCGGGCTGTATAGGAAGCATAGCGGTTTCTGTTTCTGGTGAGGCCTCAGGACACTTCCAATCATGGTGGAAGGTAAAGGGATAGCCAGACATCTCAAGGCCAGAGCAGGAGGAAGGGTGGCAGGGAGGTGCTGCACATTTTTTGTTTGTTTTTAATTTTTACTTATTTGATTTTTTTTTTATTATACTTTAAGTTCTAGGGTACATGTGCACAACGTGCAGGTTTGTTACATAGGTGTACATGTGCCATGTTGGTTTGCTGCACCCATAAACTCATAGTTTACATTAGGTATTTCTCCTAAAGCTATCCCTCCCCTAGCCCCCCACCCCCCGAGCACCAGTGTGTGATGTTCTCCACCCTGTGCCCATGTGCTCTTGTTCAACTCCCACCTATGAGTGAGAACATGTGGTGTTTGGTTTTCTGTCCTTGTGACAGTTTGCTGAGAATGATGGTTTCCAGCTTTATCCTTGTCCCTGCAAAGGACATGAACTCATCCTTTTTTATGGCTGCATAGTATTCCATGGTGTATATGTGCCACATTTTCTTAATCCAGTCTATCATTGATGGACATTTGATTTTTTCCAAGACTTTGCTATTGTGAATAGTGCCACAATAAACATACATGTGCATGTGTCTTTACAGTAGCATATTTATAATCCTTTGGGTCTATACCCAGTAATGGGATCGCTGATCGCTGGGTCAAATAGTATTTCTACTTCTAGATCCTTGAGGAATCACCACACTGCCTTCCACAATGGTTGAACTAATTTACACTCCCACCAACAGTGTAAATGCGTTCCTATTTCTCCACATCCTCTCCAGCATCTGTTGTTTCCTGACTTTTTAATGATCGCCATTCTAACTCAAGTGAGATGGTATCTCATTGTGGTTTTGATTTGCATTTCTCTGATGACCAGTGATGATGAGCATTTTTTCTTATGTTTGTTAGCTGCATAAATGCCTTGTCTTGAGAAGTGTCTGTTCATATCCTTTGCCCAGTTTTTGAAGGGGTTGTTTGTTTTTACTTGTAAATTTGTTTAAGTTATTTGTAGATTCTGGATATTAGCCCTTTGACAGATGGGTAGATTGCAAAGATTTTCTCCCATTCTGTAGGTTGCCTGTTCACTTTGATGATAGTTTCTTTTGCTGCGCAGAAGCTCTTAAGTTTAATTAGATCCCATTTGTCTGTTTTGGCTGTTGTTGCCATTGCTTTTGGTGTTTTAGTCATGAAGTCTTTGCCAATGCCTATGTCCTGAATGGTATTGCCTAGGTTTTCTTCTAGGGTTTTTATGGTTTTAAGTCTTAAATTTAAGTCTTTAATCCATCTTGAATTAATTTTTGTATAAGGTATAAAGAAGGGATACAGTTTCAGCTTTCTACATATGGTTAGCCAGTTTTACCAGCACCATTTATTAAATAAGGAATCCTTTCCCCATTTCTTCTTTTTGTCAGGTTTGTCAAAGATCAGATGGTTGTAGATGTGTGGTGTTATTTCTGAGGCCTCTGTTCTGTTCCATTGGTTTATATGTCTATTTTGGTACCAGTACCATGCTGTTTTGGTTACTGTAGCCTTGTAGTATAGTTTGAAGTCAGGTAGCATGATGCCTCCAGCTTTTTTGTTTTGTTTTTTGCTTAGGATCGTCTTTGCTATGTGGGCTCTTTTTTGGTTCCATATGAAGTTTAAAGTAGTTTTTTCCAATTCTGTGAAGAAAGTCATTGGTAGCTTGATGGGGATGGCATTGAATCTATAAATTACCTTGGGCAGTATGGCCATTTTCACAATATTGAGTCTTCCTATCCATGAGCATGGAATGTTCTTCCATTTGTTTGTGTCCTCTTTTATTTCGTTGAGCAGTGGTTTGTAGTTCTCCTTGAAGAGGTCCTTCACATCCCTTGTAAGTTGGATTCCTAGGTATTTTATTCTCTTTGTAGCAATTGTAATGGGAGTTCACTCATGATTTGGCTCTCTGTCTGTTATTGGTATATAGGAATGCTTGTGATTTTTGCACATTGATTTTGTATCCTGAGACTGCTGAAGTTGCTTATCAGCTTAAGGAGATTTTGGGCTGAGATGAGGGGGTTCTCTAAATATATAATCCTCTCATCTGCAAACAGGGACAACTTGACTTCTTCTTTTCCTAATTGAATACACTTTATTTCTTTCTCTTGTCTGATTGCCCTGGCCAGAACTTCCAACACTATGTTGAATAGGAGTGGTGAGAGAGGGCATCCTTGTCTTGTGCCAGTTTTCAAAGGGAATGTGTCTCTCTGCACATGAGATGGGTCTCCTGAATACAGCACATTGATGGGTGTTGACTCTTTATCCAATTTGCCAATCTGTGTCTTTTAACTGGGGCATTAAGCCCATTTACATTTAAGGTTAATATCGTTATGTGTGAATTTGATCCTGTCATTATGATGTTAGCTGGTTATTTTGCTCATTAATTGATGCAGTTTCTTTATAGCACCAATGGTCGTTACAATTTGGCATGTTTTTACAGTGGCTGGAAACGTTTATTCCTTTCTATGTTTAGTGCTTCCTTCAGGAGCTCTTGTAAGGCCAGCCTGGTGGTGACAAAATCTCTCAGCATTTGCTTGTCTGTAAAGGATTTTATTTCTCCTTCACTTATGAAGCTTAGTTTAGCTGGATATGAAATTCTGGGTTGAAAATTCTTTTCTTTAAGAATGTTGAATATTGGCCTCCACTCTCTTCTGTCTTGTAGGCTTTCTGCCAAGAGATCCGCTTTTAGTCTAATGGGCTTCCCTTTGTGGGTAACCCGACCTCTCTCTAGCTGCCCTTAACATTTTTTCCTTCATTTCAACCTTGATGAATCTGACAATTATGTGTCCTGGGGTTGCTCTTCTTGAGGAGTATCTGTGTGGTGTTCTCTGTATTTCCTGAATTTGAATGTTGGCCTGCCTTGCTAGGTTGGGGAAGTTCTCCTGGATAATATCCTGAAGAGTGTTTTCCAGCTTGGTTCCATTCTCCCCATCACTTTCAAGTACACCAATCAAATGTAGATTGGGTCTTTTCACATAGTCCCATGTTTCTTGGAAGCTTTGTTCATTTCTTTTTACTCTTTTTTCTCTAAGCTTGTCTTCTCACTTTATTTCATTAATTTGATCTTCAATCACTGATATTCTTTCTTCCACTTGATCTAATCGGCTATTGAAGCTTGTGCATGCATCACGAAGTTCTCATGTCATGGTTTTCAGCTCCATCAGGTCATCTGAGGTCTTCTCTACACTGTTTATTCTAGTTAGCCATTCGTCTAACCTTTTTTCAATGTTTGTAGCTTCCTTGTGATGGGTTAGAACATGCTCATTTAGCTCAGAGAAGTTTGTTATTACCGACCTTCTGAAGCCTACTTCTGTCAACTCATCAAAGTCATTCTCCGTCCAGCTTTGTTCTGCTGCTGGCGAGGAGCTGCGATCATTTGGAAGAGAAGAGGTGCTCCGGTTTTTAGAATTTTCAGGTTTTCTGCTCTGGTTTCTCCCTATCTTTGCGGTTTTATGTACCTTTGGTCTTTGATGTTGGTGACCTACAGATGAGGTTTTAGTGTGGATGTCCTTTTTGTTGATGTTGGTGCCATTCCTTTCTGTTTGTTAGTTTGCCTTCTAACAGTCAGGTCCCTGAGCTGCAGGTCTGTTGGAGTTTGCTGGAGGTCCATTCCAGACCCTGTTTGCCTGGGTATCATCAGCAGAGGCTGCAGAACAGCAAATATTGCAGAACAGCAAATATTGCTGCCTGATCCTTCCTCTACAAGCTTCGTCCCAGAGGGGCACCAACCTGTATGAGGTGTCTGTTGGCCCCTACTGGGAGTTGCCTCCCAGTTAGGCTACATGGGGGTCAGGGACCCACTTGAGGAGGCAGTATATCCGTTCTCAGAGCTCAAACACCATCTTGGGAGAACCACTGCTCTCTTCAGGGCTACCAGACAGGGGCATTTAAGTCTGCAGAAGTTTCTGCTGCCTTTTGTTCAGCTATGGCCTGCCCACAGTCATGGAGTCTATAAAGGCAGTAGGCCCTGTTGAGCTATAGTGGGCTCTGCCCAGTTCGAGCTTCCTAGCCTCTTTGTTTACCTACTCAAGCCTCAGCAATGGTGGAAGCCCCTCCCCGTGCCAGGCTGCAGCCTCACAGGTGATCTCAGACTGCTGCGCTAGCCGTGAGCAAGGCTCTGTGGGCATGGGACCCACCGAGCCAGGCACGGGAGAGAATTTCCTGGTTTGCCGGTTGCTAAGACCATTGGAAAAGCACAGTATTTGGGCAGAGTGTACCAATTTTCCAGGTACAGTCTGTCATAGCTTCCCTTGGCTAGGAAAGGAAAATTCCCTGACCTCTTGTGCTTCCCAGGTGAGGTGATGCCCCGCCCTGCTTTGCTTCACCCTCCATGGGCTGGTGGTGCACATTTTTAAACAACCAGATCTAATGAGAACTCACTCATTATACCGAGGGGGGAAGGTGTTACATCATTAATGAGAACTCCACCACCATAATCCTATCACCTCCTACCAGACTGCACTTCCAACACTGGGTATTACAATTAGACAAGAGGTTTGGGTAGGGACACAGATCCAAATAATATCACTAGGGAACTGCTTCTGTCATTTACTAGAACTGTTACCTAAGTCTCCCTTTTGCCCATTTAGTCCATCAGTATCTATTTAACCAACTCTATTTCTGTTAAAGTAACCACCATAACTTCATTTTTCCTGCTTGGATCCAAACTGATAAACTCCCTTTAGCAGCCATCCGCTCCCTACTCTGGAAGAGTCTCATCCCACTTTGAAATAGGCTCTTCTCACTATGCCGAGCCATAACCTTGCTCCTCTATGTAAGCAGACCCTGTGGAACTGACCTAATTATGTTACCTCCTTTTTCCCCTAAGAAATCTGATCTTTTCTTCCCCACAGACCCTTTTTTTCACAGGGCTTGGCTTGAAATGACCTGACTGCATGAATCAAAGCTAAAGACACTGTGGGATATGCAAATCTGTTCTCAAGGTATGGGGCCTTCTGGCTGCTTCGTGGTGCACATTTGTTCTTTATCAGCAGTCCCCGAGCCCTTCCCTTTTCCCAGTAATAACATCTTAGTTTGCTGTAGGCAGGTCTCCCCCACTCTCAGATTATGGGTTTGGGAAGCCTCCTCTGTCTTATTACATGGAAGGCTATCGACTGAGACTCAGGCCTGATCAATTGGATTGTTCAGTTTCTCTGGTCCCAGTGGTTGGTTCATAGATGCCCATTTCAGAGCTAATCAGAGCTAATGAGTAATGACGGGTCCCTGTCTGGGAGTGTTGGAAGATGGATCTGTGCTTTTTAAGGGAACTGGAGTCAGGTAGAATGCAAAGTTGGAGATAATACAGCCATTGTGCCTTCAGAAAGGGAGATTCTGTCTAAGAATTAAACCAGTAGGGGGAAACAATGCAAAGAGAAGAAAAGAAAGTAACCAGATGCTGGTGACATTAGAGAAATCCCTGATTGTATTAGTCTGTTCTTATGCTGCTAATAATACATGCATGAGACTCGGTAATTTATAAAGGAAAGAAGTTTGACTCACAGTTCCACATGGCTGGGGAGGCCTCACAATCATGGCGGAAGGCGAATGAGGACCAAAGTCACATCTCACATGGTGGCAGGCAAGACAGAATGTGTGCAGGGGAACTCCTCTTTATAAAACCATCAGATCTCATGAGACTTATTCACTATCATGAGAACAGCATGAGAAAAATGCACCCCCATGATTCCCCTATCTCCCACTGGGTGCCTCCCACAACACTTGGGGATTATGGGAGCTACAGTTCAAGATTAGATTTGGGTGGGGACACAGCAAAATCATATCACTGGTTCAAGCCATACCTGAAGGAGTCTCCTTCCTGTATATTTCAGTTATGATAAACATGAATAAACTTCATATTGTTGCCAATTTCAGATGGGATTTCTATCACTTTCAGTCGAAAAAGTTCTTTCTGGTCTTCCCACTCCCCTAAAAGAGCTCTTGTATTTCCAAATGAATGAGCAGAGTTTGTTGTTTCTACTGTGGTGGGTTAGCAGCCTGGTCTCCCAGTGCTTTTGACATTTCCTAGTCATAGGCTCTCTCACTACATTCCTTGGGTCTGCATTTGATAGCAGCAGACTCCTCCAGGCCATCAGTTGTACTGAGATTGATTTAACACAGCTGAATGCATAACACAGGCCTTGGTTACTTTTGCCAAGGAAACGTGGGCCTTTCTCCTTTGTTCTGCAGGATAGAGGGCCCTTCTTATTTATATCTCCAAAAAGAAAAGTAAATGATTAATGAACTGGACTAAACAATAATATAATAATAATAATAGCTAATATATATTGCACCTTTATGAATATTAAACAGGTTAAATTTTTAAGCATTTTGTATTCATTAACCCATTTATATCTCTCAAAGCAATTCATGCATCAGATACTAATATCATGGTCATTACACAGATGAAGACACTGAAACACAGCAAGGATGGGCAATGTGCCCAAGTCACACCACTAAGCAACTGGCAGTCTCACCAGGAAGTCTGAACTGAGACCCTCTGTGTGCTAAGCAGATAATGTCCCCTCCCCCAAAGATGTCCTAGTTTCTCTAATCTTTGACAGTGTCACCTTATATGGCAAAACAGATTTGGAGGTGTGATCAAGTGGACCTTAAAGTGGGAGAAATTATCCTAAATTGTTGGGTGGGCTCAATAATAACAAGGGTTTTTCAAAGTGGATGATGGATGCCAAGGAGGGTCAGAGAAACACACATCGAAGTGAGTCAATGTGGGAAGGACTCACCACCATTGCTGGCTTTACAGATAAAGGCAGCAATGAGCCAAGAATCGTGGGCAGCTTCTAGAAGCTAGAAAGAGCAAGAAAACCAATTTTTCTCTACAGTCTCCAGAAAAGAATGCAGCCTTGTCCACATCTTGGTTTAAGGCAGAAAAACTCAGATGTATGACCTGTAGAACAGTAAGACTATAAAGTTTTGCTGTTTTAAGCTAAGCATGTTACAGCAGCAATAGAAAATTAAGACATCTCATCATTGTTTTTTAAAAACAACTTTGTTGAGGTATATTTGACCATTTGAAATTCATCCATTTCAGGTGCACAGTTCCATGACTTTTAGTCAATTTACTAAGTCCTGAAAGCATTACTATAAGTCAGCTTTAAAATACTCCCATATGCAGCTGGTCATGGTGGCTCATGCCTGTAATCCCAGCACTTTGGGAGGCCGAGGTGGGTGGATCACCTGAGGTCAGGAGCTTGAGACCAGCCTGGCCAACATGGTGAAACCCCATCTCTACTAAAAACACAAAAATTAGCTGGGTGTGGTGGTGGGTGCCTATAATCCCAGCTACTCAGGAGGCTGAGGCAGGAGAATCACTTGAACCTGGGAGGCGGAGGTTGCAGTGAGCCGAGATCACGCCACTGCACTCCAACCTGGGCAACAAAGCGAGACTCCATTTCAAAAAAAATATATTCCCATAAGATCCCATTTACAATATATCCCTGGTCCCATCTCCAGCTCCAGGCAACTACTAATCTACTTTTCCATCTCTATAAATATGCCTTGTCTGAACATTTTACATAAATGGAAACATACAATATGTGTTCTCTTGTGTCTGGCTTCTTTCACTTAACATGGTAATCGTAGGTCCACCCATGACATTGTGTGTGTCAGTAGTCCATTCATTCTTATTGCTGAATACTATTCCACTTATGAATATATTGTATCTTATCTACGTACCTAATGATGGAAATTTCAGTTGTTTCTACTTTTTCCTATTACGAATAATTCTATTATGAACAATTTGTGCACAAGTTTTCACATGGACATGTGTTTTCATCTTACCTCTTTTTCCAGAAGTGAAATTGCTGGATCATATGGCAGTTTTACGTTTAACTTTGTGAGGAATGGTTTTTCAAAGTGGCAGTGCCATTTTACATTTCTGTTAATATTACCAAGTACACTTGTACAAGTACCATTTGTATTCATTTTCTCATTTACCATTGTCATTCTAGTAAGTGTGAAATAGTATTGCTTGTGGTTTTAACCTACATTTTCCTAATGACTAATGATGGTGAACATCTTTCCATATGTTTATTAACCACTAATATACCTTCCTTGGTGAAATATCTATTCATATCATTTGCCTATTTTGGATTGAGTCGTTTGTCTTTTTATTATTGAATTTTTAAGTGTTCATTGTAAATTCTAGATAAAAGTCCTTCATCAGATTTGTATTTTACGAATATTTTCTCTCTGTCTGTACTTTTTTTTTTCATTTTCTTCACATTTTTTGAAGTGCAAGCATTTTGTATTTTGATAAGGTTCACTTTACCTTTTTTAAAAAAGAAACTATGGGACATTCATTTTGTTGCACAAAACTCTATCATCTTCACCATTAGACTGCATGCCTCTCAAAGTAGCTCATTGCCTGATGTATTTACTAGCTTTGTTCAATGTTAGGTTAAGTATATCTAACATTCTAACTAACATTCAATGTTAGCTTAACTATATCTTAGAGTTGTTCGGGAGCTAAAGCACTTAAATTAGAATGTTGTTACTCCAATGCTCTAGCAAATTCTGCCAAGTCCCTGCAATGCCTGGAGACCACAATTCAGGATATATGGGGAAAAGAAAGTTTTCACATTTTTTTCCTCAGTTTTGCCCAGGAGTGGTCAGTGCCTAATGTCAAAATACATAGTCCGCAGCACAACAATATGAATGGACTGAATACCACTGGTGTGTATACTTACAAATGGTTAAGATGACAAATCTTATGTGTACCTTATAATAATAAAATGTTTTATTTAAAGAAATTAATTAAAACTCACTTGGAAAAATTACAGGAAATATGTTGTATGAAAATGCTAAGACATTTATAACAAAGACCTATAGGGAAAAAAAGAATGACCTGTGTTTTACCAGACCTGTTCATATATACACAGTTTTGATAAGGGAAAAATCACCACCGTATATATTGAGTTTCAAAAGCACACTCAGTGTGTAAGGATAAATATAATTTATCTCTATTTACCTGATCTGAATCCAACAGGTCATAGTTCTGTCTCAGAGAAGGTCTTGCAGAAAGACTGATTCAGCACATTACCTCCAAGTCTAGTATAAGGGCCATAATATGTCATAGTGTTACCGGTGACAGGTATCCAGAGTTACACTGTGTTACCAGTGGCAAATCCCTATGCGTCTGCACCAACTTTAATTCTTGCCTCTTGAGAAGAAAGAATTTTACTAAGGGGCATAAGACAGAAGGAGAGACCGAGGCAAATTTCAGAGCAGGAGTGAAAGTTTATTAAAAACTTTAGAACAGTAAGGAAAGGAAAGAAAGGCAAGAGAAGGAAAGTACAGCTTGGGAGAGGGCTAAGGGGGCGACTTGAGAAACCAAGTACACAGCTCAACCTCCTGACTTGGGGCTTTTTTTTTTTTGACATGGAGTCTCACTCTGTTGCCAGGCTGGAGTGCAGTGGCACGATCTCGGCTCACTGCAATCTCCGCCTCCTGGGTTCAAGTGATTCTTCTGCCTCAGCCTCCCGAGTAGCCAGGACTACAGGCACGTGCCACCACGCCCAGCTAATTTTAGTACTTTTAGTAGAGACGGGATTTCACCATGTTGGCCAGGATGGTCTCGATCTCTTGACCTCGTGATCCACCTACCTTGGCCTCAAAAGTGCTGGGATTACAGGCCTGAGCTACGGCACCTGGCTTGACTTGGGGCTTTTCTACACTGGCATACTTCTGTGATCTTATTGGAAAGCTGCTGATCAGTTTCGTTTGTTTTCTATCTATTAGGAAACGGCCTTTTCCTGGTGCTGGCTGTGGCTAATCATTACTTTTGAGAAAGTATTAGCAACAACCTGACCATCACCTGTGGTCACCCAACACTCCTGGCGTGTGTATGGTCAAGGGAGCCCTCTCCTGCCCTGCTCACGCCCAACCAGCCACTTCCTGTAACTATAGGAGGCAGCTGCTCCAAGGTGTGTATTTTGGAACACTTGTTGTTGGTTATGAAAGCTGTTCTCCTTTCATGCTGCATATGTCTGCAACGTGTAAGAAGGCCCAGGCTGCTGCTATATTTCTCAAACAGGAGAATGTTATGCTGTCTGCAGTCTTTGTATTTGTAGATCACATAGTAGGGAATTGCAGGCAGCTTTGGGTCAAACCAAGAGCTGTGAGTGAATGTTGGCTTTTCCACATTCCAGCTGAGAGATTTGAGCTGAATTATTAATACCTCTGTACTCTGGTTCCTTTGTCTGAAAAATAAGGATTAAAAGTGCCGATCATATGGTGGTTCTTGGGAAGATTAAATAAACTCATATGTGTAAAGCCCTTAGCACAATTCCCAGCACCTAATCAATGTTTTTGGAAAATTATTAATATTTTTATTACTGTTTTTTCATAAATATAATTATCTTTATATTAATAGCTAGAAGCTAAGATTGGAAATGTGGACAAAAGGTTGCAGGCAGGCAGTATCCCTATTTCAAAGTGTTAGAATAAGTGTTGCATCCCCACCTCCCATATGGTAACAGATCTCAGTAGAGCAGATACAGTTGAGTACCCCTTATCCAAAATGCTGGGGACTGGAAGCATTTCAGTCCCAAGCATTTTTTCAGTTTTGGAATATTTGTATTATATTTATCATATTTGGAAACTGATTTTTTCAGTTTTAGAATACTTGTATTATACTTATCATTGAACATCCCTCATCTGAAAATCTGAAATCCAGAACCCTTCAGTGAACGTTTCCTTTGAGCACCAGTGCTGAAAAAGTTCCAGATTTTGGAGAATTTGGGATTTTGGATTTTTGGATTATGGATATTCAACCTGCACTGCTGCATTTGTTGACCCGGATGACAAGTGAGAAAGAAAGAGCTCCCTGGGCTGGGCGCGGTGGCTCACGCCTGTAATCCCAGCACTCTGGGAGGCCGAGGCGGGAGGATCACGAGCTCAGCAGATCGAGACCATCCTGGCTAACACAGTGAAACCCCGTCTGTATGAAAAATGCAAAACATTAGCCAGGCATGGTGGTGGGCGCCTGTAGTCCCAGCTACTCAGGAGACTGAGACAGGAGAATGGTGTGAATCCGGGAGGCAGAGCTTGCAGTGAGCTGAGATTGCGCCACTGCACTCCAGCCTGGGCGACAGAGCGAGACTCAGTCTAAGAAAGAAAGAAAGAAAAGAAAGAAAAGAAAGAAAGAAAGAAGGAAGGAAGGAAGGAAGGAAGGAAGGAAGGAAGGAAAGAAAGAAAGAAAGAAAGAAAGAAAGAAAGAAAGAAAGAAAGAAAGAAAGAAAAGAAAGAGAGAAAGAAAGAAAGAGAAAGAGAGAGAGAAAGAGAGAGAGAGAGAGAGGAAGGAAGGAAGGAGGGAGGGAAGGAGGGAGGGAAGGAGGGAGGAAGGAAGGAAGAAAGGAAGGAAGGAAAGAAAGAAAGAAAGAAAGAAAGAAGGGAAAGAAAGAAAGAAAGGAAAGAAAGAGGTCCCTGCACCTGTGGGGAAGACATGGGTTGTATTTAAAACTGACACACTAAAAACAAGATCAAATAGGAGAAACAACATTTTGTGAAAGTGCATACTTTAGGAATAGATGTGATTTTCCACAAAGCCTTCAAGGATTATATTTTTGTCTCTGGTTTTCAACGATTTCCCTGAAACTATCAAACAATATCTTGTGAAAGGCAGGATGTAGAGGCCTTAGGGTCTGGGGTCAGATGAAGTTTGGTTGGATACCAGCTCTGACACTTGACAGTTGTGTGGACTTGAAAACATTACTTAGCCTCAAGCTATTTAAATTCTCTCAGTTCCCTTCTATATAAAATGAGTATAATGGTAGAACCTTCCTCCTTGGATTGTCATCAGAATTAAGTGAGGTGAAGCTTGTAAAATGCTGAGCATAGGGCCAAGAACACTGTGACAGCGCCATAATTGGGAGTGACACCCATCCCGGAACACTGCATGGTCCTAAAAATCTGCCAGAGTCTTGTACTCCAAGATCCTTAAGTCTGCTGCAAATGATACCTTACCAGATTTAGCTATAACAATCCTAATAAAGTTCTCCTAGAGGAATGTACTCTTTTAATGCAATGTCTTAGACAGGACTAGGGTATTGGAAGTCTTTTCATACAAAAAAATGTATGTCCTTCAGTAAATTTGGGCCTAATTTTAAAGTATAACCCACAGGCCAAAAATGAAAATTTAGCTCAATTACGAAAGTGTTTTATTGAGCCTTTTTCCTTGACCTGTAAGAGATTCAGAAAGGGGTAAAATAAGGATACGCCATAGGGAAGTTCACGGTGTGATAGTAATAAGCCCTGCTAGTTTCTGGGGTTCCTAGGACCACCTGCCTTTTCAGAAAGATTCATAGGGCTCTGCACATATTGTTTATACAGCTAAGTTTTATTACTGCAATATTGGTCAGGTATTCAGTCAAACCACGTGGGTTATACTGGTGGAGTCAGTAGAATCCATGTGCAGGATTCTCATAATCTCTCTCCCACAAAGGTCACACAAAGCACACTCTTCCCCCAACAGTAAAAGTGCTGAAACATGAATACTGTGTTTCAACGAAGGGAAATCTGTTAAAGACTCAGTGCCCAGGAGTTTTACTGTGGGCTGGTCATGTAGACACCCTCTGTCTAGCAGAGGGTATGGTTTATGTGAACACCTGCTTCTTTCTTTTGAGAAGTCCCCAAATTCCAGACTCCCCAGAGGAAAAGCAGGTGTTCACATAAACAATATCATTTGCACAAGCAGTTTAGGCACACTGGGCGCTCTTATCAGTGAACTATTGACATTGAGAGACAAGTTTCCAGATGAAAAGGGCCAACCTTGACAACAGGCCTTTCTACAGATGACAATTTCAGCCCAGCTGCTCTTTCTTTGCTGCACACCAGGTGTTGGAGGCTGTCCATGAACCAGACCCTTCACGTATGTTATATCATTAAATTTAATACATACACACACACCCCTATACACAGGAGATTTTACTATTTCAGCAAGAAACAGAACAACTTGACCAAGGTCACACCGCTAGGAGGCAGAGAGGTGAGATTAAAACCAAGAAGACTCTTATTCTTATGTCCTCGTTTTTGCTGGTCGCAAAAACCTTCAGTGAGGCAGAAAATTTAGGCGAAGCTTCTCCCAATGTTTCTTTGTCAGCCCTGACAGAAAACTCCTCATTTCCTTGGACTCCTCCTGAATGAAAGCCCAAGGTCTCTTCCCAGCTCTGAAATCACAGGTCATGTTCACCTCCGCATATGTTCGCTGGGGAATGATAGCAACAACTATTTGATAATGTTCTTGTGAATATTCAAAGTCAGAGCACAAGACCAGTTCCCTTTCCTTCGCCTTGAGGGAGTGTAGCAAAAAGCCAGAAATCACCTAAATTACCTTCTTCTTTGTTCTAGGGCTGAAGGAGGAAGGCAGGAGCCAGACAGGCTGAGGTTCCCAAGCTGGGGACCCTCCCGTTCTCTTACCCAGTGTCTAAGCTGCAGCCACTCTCATCTAGAAGACGAAATTCAAATACAGTGTTTCTAACTGAAGACTCACTTCCTAATGCCTGATCTCATTAGCAGTCGGGTTTAAAAGATCCAGCTCAACATAGCCTTGTTAATATTCTTACTCACCTACTTTGGTTTTAATAACATGTGTTCTTGTAACTTTCTCATGTAATGTTTATTTTTTATTGCATGTTTAAATGATATTTTGATTTTATTTAGTTAGAATAAAAATGGCAGATACTAGGTCATTATTTCTGTTCAAGTTTCTCATTCAGTAAGATCTTAAATTGTTCTGATATTTTGCATCCACAACAGAAATAAACAAAATGTGACCAAACAAAATATAGATTACATCAAGTATTTATGGCCCATAAAAACTGCATCCCATCTAAAAACCTTTCCAGGTAATTATAAGTATGCGAAAATAATGTAACTGTGAGGCATTGGAGATGGAATCCATAGTAATCTCTTTAGAACAGTCATAAAAACATTAATTTATGATTAAGTATGCACAATACTCTGTGTGGCCTGGAGCTGAGGAAGTCAAATTCAATCTGAAAAACCCCTTATAAAGAACAGAATTATTTGAGAAGCAAGAGATTGGGGTAGGTCAGTGAATTAAGAAAATAAATGCATTTTGAAAACTTAAGTCTAAACTAGCTATAGGGAGAGATGGTGGTGGGGTACCCCTTCCAGCTCAATGATTCTGAGACTAAGGGATTTGTCATTCCAGTTTATGCACACACATTTGATATTAGTGTCTCCTGCTCAGTGGAGAGGCCCACAATTTAATCAAAATTTTTAGGCAAAGCTAGTGAGAAACCACTGAATAATATTCTTCAGCTGTTAAAACAGATAATAAACATTTCCCTAAAATGATACATTCTTTATTTCAGTGTTCCTAGCACAAATACTGGCAAAACTGCTGTGCAAAAGATGAGTTTAATTTCCTTATTTCGGGTATCTATTGATGATCTCTTACTGAGTCAGTAAACATATTTCCCTAGTCTACAGAAAATAAATATGGGGGCTTGTTGTAATTTGGTTCATATGTCATGATTCCAAAACTGTTATCGAAGCTAGAAATCACAAGGCAAAATATGCTGCATTTTTAAAGATATTAACCAAGTCTATATTTATGAATAATTCATGGCTTGCCAGTGAAGTGGCAGGTTTTGCATACTTTGGCATTAAAAATTAGTCATCTTGCTTCGGTCTACTGGTGTTCTTCAAAGTAGAATATTATCTGAGGAAGGGTTAGAGAGGACATTTAATTAATTTTATTTTGAGATTTAGTGCATTATAAGAATTGCTTAATATAGAACAAAAGTCATCAGCTCAAGGGAAACGAATTTAGTTCATTCACTCCTGGAACTGCTTCCAATATACACAAGACATCCCACATGCACGTTGTCCTAGGGAGGTGGATTTGTGTCCACAGTCATGCTCAATCAAATATTTTATTTTGGCGGTTTCATTGGTTTCCAAATATGTGTTTTTCTCATTGTATTGAAATGCTAGTTTCGTTGTTTTGAATTGCATTGCTTGGTAAAGTTCAGTCTCATTTTTTTTTTTTTTTTTTGAGACAGAGTCTCGCCCTGTCACCCAGGCTGGAGTGCAGTGAAGCGATCACGGTTCCCTGCAACTTCTGCCTCCCAGGTTCAAGCAATTCTTCTGCCTCAGCCTCCCAAGTAGACAGGACCACAGGCATGTGCCACCATGCCAAGCTAATTTTTGTAGTTTTTAGTAGAGACAGCGTTTCACCATGTTGGCCAGGCTGGTCTTGAACTCATCACCTTGTGATCCACCCACCTCGGCCTCCCAAAGTGCTGGGATTACAGGCGTGAGCCACCGCGCCCAGCCCAGTCTCATATCTTAACCTTATTCGAAGTCAGAAAGGATGAACTGTGAACCATGGCTAATTTCATAAGTACTGTGAGTTCTATGCTAATCATGGCATAAAAGGTTTTCAGTAATTAATATTAGTTTCTATTTCTAAGGACAATCTCCTGTACCTGATCATTGTGTGCTTGAGCCATTGACAGACAGGGAATCGAGTCTTCAGAGCTCTGTTTCTGCATTAATCCTTCCTTCCCCACACAATAGTTGACCCTTTGAAGCAGCCAGCTTCAACCTTCTGTGCAGAGTCAGTCACGTGAATATTAAGCAAGACTCTAGGTCAAAAAGTTTCCTCCAACACTGCGTGACACACTCAGTACATTCCCAAAAGACTCCTATAGCAAAGTCAAGACTGCCAAGCCCATACACCTTAGCAGCCCAATTTAAGACATTTGGAAAAATACCCAGTATCACATTTAATGCCTTCTCTCTTGAGCAAAAAGTACCAGACATTCTATATGCTTTTTTCCATCATCTAACAGACTCAGCAGAATGTCAAGAATAGAGAACTCAGTAATTGAAGGAAAAAAGGAGCCAACAGTTCTCCTGCATATGTAGTTTTCGGAAGGTTCAAGCAACACAATCCTAAGCATTAGTAACAGGAACTCTTTAAAAGTTTGTACAATAGATAAAATTGATGATGCCATTTCTTTTGTAAGTTAAACATGTCTTTTGATTAGGACATACAAATTCCCATTGTAAAGGAGCTGTTTTGTCATTTAAATTTAAAATTTTCATTACAACTAAAGAAGGAAATATAAGTACCCAAACCCCTGTATCCCTGAAATAAACAGTATTAACTTCCAGTAGTTTTTCTATATGTATATTTTAAAGAAGATACTATTAAGATAATTTGTATTGCTTTTCCACTTAGTATTATGTCTTAAGAATTTGTGGGACCATTAAAATCTTTGAAAACAGGATTTTTGTTTTCCAAGTTTTAATATAAGTAATACATAATCATTGTAAAGGAAGAGATATGGAAATATACCGGTAAGTTATAAGAGCATCTATATCTAATCTCCCAGGCCCAGCACTGTTCATTAATCCTGATGGCTTCCCATTTGCACATATGTATAAGTGGCAAGCAATATTATTGTGATATTAACTCAAGTGTTAGTAGCACAGACAGGATGTGCAGCAGGATCAATCAAGGTCCACCCACAGCACTATCCTGCAAAGGTTCCAACATCCCATCCAGCCCAGGAGCAATAAAGAGAGCATAGACCATGCTCACTGCTACAGATGAGCAGAGGCTTCTATACCTGTGGAGCCTCACCTGCATAAAATCCAGAGCTCTGGACAATGCTGCAGGGATGGGGCAGAGAGCTTCATTCTCAAAACCACAAAGGCATATTTTTTTCCAAAACCAATTTTAGTAACGAAAGTTATTGTAGTATTGGTAAACCTCTAAGATTTTTGACCAACCTCGGCCTTTGATCCCAACTAGAATAAATGTATCACATAATAAATCTTGGACCATTTTTTTGCCCTTCCAAGCACTGATCTAAGCACTCTGTTAATGTTTACTTTTATAACCCTCATGGTAACAAATCACTATCGTTAAACCAGTCTTACAATTGAGGCGACAGTAAGAAGCACAGAGAAGTTAAGTAACTTATCCAGGTTTACACAGCTTGTGAGCAGGAAGTCAGAACTTCGGTCTGGACTGTAGAATCCTGGGAGCCAATGGTTTTTGGTGCCACAGAGCTGCAGCAGCCTCATGCAGGTGGGAGGGGTGAAGGGAGGCTGGGGATTGAATGGCTTCTGGGGAGTCAGCGTCCCCTCTTCTTCCTCATAAGCTGATATTCTCTGTCTATCACCACCAGTTTTATCAGTACCAATATGCTTTTCACTATATGTAGTTAATTCATGTTAGTTTCTATCTCTAAGAGCAATCTCTTGTACCTGATCACTGTATGCTTGAGCCATTGGCAGACAGACAGTGAATCAAATCTTCAGAGCCCTGTTCCTGCATTAATCCTTCCTTCTCTGCACAATAGGCAACCCTCATAAGCTGATAATTCTCTGTCCATCACCACCAATTTTAGCAATACCAACATGCTTTTTGCCATATGTAGTCAATTAATATTAGCTTTTATCTCTAAGGACAATCTCTTATACCTGCTCATTGATTTATTTTATAAATAAATAAAATATTTATAATTTGTAATGTTTATATTGTTTTATAAATATTAATTTTATAAATCTTTATTTTTCCTTTTTGCCTATATTATGATAAACAAAGCATAAAACTGTTGTACTTTGTGGGCAATGCCCAGTCACGTTTTCTGTTTTTTCCCTTAATATTTACAGTTCCTAGAACATCATCTGGATGCATACGATCCTTGCAGAACAGTTAACACAATACAAAGCCTCTATCCTCATGAACCAGTTACCAACGATTCTGTTCGAGTAATGGAAACTCATGCTGTAGAACAGCAGTTCTCAGTGCTTACTGCACAAGAGAATCACCTGAGGATGGCTTACCTGCCCTTTCGTGATGCCCAAGACCCATCTACAGAAGTTCGGATTGGGGCAGCCTGGACTGGGGGCCTGGGAGTTTTAAAAGTCTCCGGGTGATTTAAACGTGTGCCCAAGACTGATAATCATCTTAGAAAGAGAAAGTTCTATGGATTCAGATGGCTTCAAGGAAAAAAATGATTGTTCCTTGATTTCTTATTAGAAGAATTATCATGGATGAATAAGGGTTGTCCACACCCCTCTGAAGAAAGAAACCCGAAACCCGAGCTGGAGTTTTCTTTCCTGAAGGGAAAAGCTTGTCTTTGACAGCAAAGTAAATTATTAGGAGAGCTTAATTTCAGATTGTGTAGACTCTTTTTTTTTTCTGTTTTTTCCCAGACAAAGTCTTGCTCCGTTTCCCAAGCTGGAGGGCAGTGGCCCCATCACAGCTCATGGTGCAGCCTCAAACTCCTGGGCTCAGGAAATTCTCCTACCTCAGCCTCTCAGGGAGCTGCGACTACAGGCACATGCTGCCATGCCCGGCAAATTTTCCTATTTTTTTAGAGAGAGGTTTTTGTTATGTTGCCCAGGTGGGTCTTGAACTCCTGGCCTCAAGGGATCCTCCCACCTTGGCCTCCCAAAATGCTGGGATTACAGGCGCCAGCCACCACGCCCAGCCTCTGAATGTCTAGACTCTTGATTCTAAGTGGCTGGTATTTCCCAGAGAGAGGAGGGTTGCAATTATGGAGAGTGGGCAGATTGAGGTGGAGTAACTAAGGGGATTGGCCCAGATGATGTGAAAGATGGGTTGTGGATTTCCCCCGTGTGGACCCAGCATCCTGAGCACCCTAGAACATCAAGCGGGTGGAGCTCCGAGCCTGCGCAGGCAGCTGGGCATCTGTTTCCTCTGCAGAGGCTCTTCATCTCCAGCTCAGCTTGAAGGAAGGGAGCTGGCTCTCTCTGAGCAGAAACTATGGATGTCAAACAGGAGACCCCAGGAGCAGTAGCCCGGGTGAACTCAGGACCAGGGGTTTCTTCAATTCTTCCAGCTTGCACAAGTCTCTACGTTCCTGACAATCACAGACAGTGAGGGAAGATCTCCCTCAAAGTTACTCAACTGCATTTTCTACCATCCCTGATGGGTGGAGGCTTAGCCAGACTGAAGCCTATTTAAGAATACAAAGGGATGTGCTATCTATTTTACCTTGAGAGCATGTTGCACTCATGACCTTTACTTATGCTATGATGGATTTGAGGATGTGGGAGTGCTCAAGCTCCACTACTCCACAGAGGATGGAAAAGAAGGAGGAAGGAGTAAATTGTTCAAAGGAAATGCATGATAGACAGAGATAAAGATGTGTAATGTCTTGATTTCGAAATTCTTTAAACACTGGGATATAGGAGACAGTCTGGCCTCCCGAGAGCTTTTAAAACACCACTGATGATGATCACTCTATGCTATGGTCTGAATGCGTGCGCCTCACCAAAATTCGTATGTCCAAGCCTGTCTTGAAGGTGATGCTGTTAGGAGATGAGGCCATTGGAAGGTGATTAGGCCATGAATGTAGAGCCTCACAATGGAATGAGTGCCTTTAAAGGGGGCTGGAAAGACCAGAACCTTTCCCTTCCACCATGCGAGGACACAGGGAGAAGGCTATCTTTGTGAATGAGGTAGTGAGACCTCACCAGGTGTGGAATCCATCAGCTTTCTATCTTAAATACTCAGCCTCCAGAGCTGTGAGAAGTAAATTCATGCTTTTTAAACTACTGAGTTTATGGCATCTTGTGATAGCATCCCAAACAGACTAAGATCTCATGAAGAGAATCATGTAAGTCATTCGAGCCTTTTATGGTTATGTTTTGATGGAGATGAAAATAGAAATCTATGAATTCCTGTCAAAAGTAGTAAAGTGAGTGAAGAAAAATTACTTATTTTATAGATATTTGTCTTGCTTTGTCTAAAACTTGGTAAACTACAGCAATTCTCATAGGGCTCAATCATATTGTAGCTATTTTTTGATACAATATTTTATTTTTATTGCTTATATGAAAAGTTAAAAAGAACATATACAAATATTAAAAAGTAGTAATTTTCACCAGTATTTGTATTATGAGTTCTATTCCATCTATATGTGAATGTTGGATTCCTTTGCTTACTTTTTTTAACAATCTTATAATTGTGCCTGTTTCATAAAGTTAAAATTCATGAAGCCCAGTTAAGATAGTAAGGCTTTTTGAAAGCAAGTTTGTGGAACATTCATTCCTGAATGTAAATGCTGCTATCATATATTATTTTAAATGGCATGATGCTATTATTTGTATTTCAATATTTAAGTACAATGAATTATTTCAACATTTTCCCATTATTGTGACTTATTGATTTTTTAAAAATCAGACATATTGTAAAAAATAAATATCAGCTTCTTAGAAGAAAAGCCAAGTAATTGAATCTCCAGCTTTATTTCTAATTATCTGCAATCTGCTTTCTGTGCAAGGACCTTTTATTTGAGACTTCTATTTGCTCTTTGATATTTTCTTGGATTTTATTTGATTTTCTATGTTTTAACTGTAATTTAAGTTCTCTCTGGGAGGGCAGTTTATAATTAAAATTATTCCTAATTGTGTGTTTTTATTTCACTGCTGCTTAATGAGAGATTATGAGACAATTTGGTGCATGCAGGGAGAGCTTAGATCGTAGAATAGTTGCCATTTGGGGAAAGATTTCTCTATTTTTAACCTGTGTAATGCAGACCAAAGCTCAAATGAACACAATATATTTACATGGACTAGGAATATGGCTGTGAACCAAGGAAAAAAATGACTGTCAGCCTTTGCCTGGATTTCTCGTTGGCATTCAGATTTATAAATAAACTTGGAAAATTGGAGATTGTTATGCGACTTCAGTGCATGATCCTATCCATGTGCTCTGGCCAGTCAAATGCAACTAGAAGTTCTGCTGGCCCCACGGTTCTTTGACCCAGTTGGCCTTTAGGACTGTTACATACACTCTACAAAACTTGTTGTTAATTTCACTTTATTTCCTCCTCTTCAGCCCCATCCCTCATTAGCCTCATTTCTTCCTACAAGATTATCAGTAAAAGGAGAATCCCATCAGCATGAATGATATCAAGGCTTCCATATTCAATGATTTGCCTATAAAATCCTTGTTTGTACCTGCAATGTATTCATTATACCCCTGATTTTAATTTAGTCTAATCAACACAAGAAAATTTCTGAGAGAGAGAGAGAGAGAGAAAGGACACGTTGAAAATACAGTATAGCTGTGATCATCAGAGTGCACCACTCCCCAGAGAATCCTATAGATGTAGCTCGTAGGAACTTTTGTCAAGGACAAAACACAGGAGTTACATTGTTAACTTTTCTTGTCATTAATTTTAACTCTTTCCTTAGGTTATACCATGGTTGTTAATAAAGTTTTGGAGATTGTGAGTGGACCCACCTGGCAACTATGGGCAATGTAAGTTTTCCCACAGTTACTGCGACTGCCACAGTTTTCAGGGTTTCTGTGTAGCCAAAGCCCATACACATGACCCAGGATTTTGGTTGGGATACATGCAAGAAAGGAGAAAAGGAAGGATGTGATCCTTTGCTGGGTGTTTTCATATTAGTGGCTCAAAAAAATTATACAAGCGGATAGAGGCAAGGGCAGGATGCCACTGACCTTAGAGAAGGGACCTGAAAAGCTGGCATGACACAAAATCATTTTCAGTTGTATCGTGAAGGCCAAGGGGAAATGGGACAAGGAAAGAAAGTCTAAGGATATCTCACATGGAAGGAAGAGCAAGGTGCACATGCATAGAGATGAAAAATATGTCCCCACTTTCTGAGAAAGGCAAGAAGTTGGTCCAGCACTGTAAGGACAGCAGTTGGAGGAGGGTAGGGGAAGAGCCCCACAAGAGACTGAGAAGCAGGCTTGAGTTATCTGCATTCCATAGGTGGAGTTAGCACACTTCTACATAAAGGAACAGAGAGTAAATGCTTTACACTTTTCAGGACAGTATGTGCCACAACTATTGAGCTCTTCCATTGTCTAGCAGAAGCAGCCATAGACAATTTGTAAGCAAACGTCCGTGGGTATGATCTAAAATAACTTCATTTACAAAAAGACACATGATACCATGGTTGGACCCATCGACTGCAGATTGCTGATTCTGTCCATGGATGGAGAAATTATAAGATCAGTGAAATTATCATATGACTTGTAGGTAGTAGAGCCCAAATCAGGCTAAACTATTCTGTTTTGTTCTGTTTTATTCTAGTGTTCTTTCTTCCTCTCTGAAATCTGAAATTACGCCACATTTCCTTGTGGATGGGGCAGAGCATTGAACACTGGGTGGTGTGGTGGTGGTTCTGTGTCCCACAAACAAAGACAACGACCAGGCTATGTCATGTTGAACTCTGTGTGGCTTCGGTAAAAGAGACTTGCTGTCCATGGAAGAAACCTGAAGTTATTGTAAATCTTATTTGAATCATCCAGGTTTCTCAGTTGTAAGCAAGGGAAAGAACCTCTGGTTATTTTACAGAGAATGGAGATGCACTAATGTGATACTGGGTAGGCTCATGTAATCACAGGAGGATAGTAAGGAAAGGCTTAGAGGATACCCAAGGAGGGAAAATGCCCCAAGTGATGCTAAAGTATTAGTCCCATCAGGGGACCAGGAAGGCAAGTGCTGGGGGAAGACCATTAACAGAAGGCTGTGAGCACTGCAGCTGAAACCACTCCCACTGATACCCTGGGAAAAATGGTGTAAACACTGCAGATGCACCATCCTTCCAGAAATTATGCCCCTCTGCATTACAGTTCCCCAGAGAAATAGAACCAATAGGAGATAGATAGATAGGCAGATAGATGGATGGATGGATGGATGAATGGACAGATGGACAGATGGGCGGACTGACAGATAGACAGCCAGTTAGATAAATAGATGGATAGGTGGATAAATAGATTCATACATACATTACATAGATACATAGATACATGGGTGGATGGATGGATAGATGGATGGATGAATGGATGGATGGATGAATGGGTGGATGAATAGATTAGATAGAAATAGATACATAAATACATTGATACATAGATACATGGATGGGTGGATGGATGGGTAAATGGATAGACTAAATAGAGATAGATAGATAGATAGATAAGAGGGGATTTTGGGGGGAGAACCAGGTACAATTAGGATGTTGAGAAATCTCACAATATGCTGTCTGCAAGCTGGAGAACCAGGAAAGCTGCCAGCATGGCTCAGTCCACATCTGAAGGCCTCAGAACTAGGGGGAGAAAATGGTGTAGCTCTCAGTCTGAGGTCAAGGCCTGAGAACCCAAAGGCCACTGGCGCAAGCCTTGGAGTCTGAAGTCTGGAAAATGTGAAATTTTGATCTCTCAGGCCAGGAGAGGGTGGGCGTCTCAGCTCCAGGAGAGAGAGGGAGAAAGAGAGAGGTAGGGATAACTAATTCCTCTTTCCTCTTTTTGTTCCAATCTGGTCCTCAGCCGATTGGATGGTGCTGCCCACAATGGGTGAAGTGGATCTTCCTTACTTAGCTCACTTACTCAAATGCCAATGTCTTCCAGAAATACCCTCACAGGCATACCCACTGATAGGGTTTGGCTGTGTCCCCACCCAAATCTCACCTTGAATTGTAATAATCCCCACATTTCAAGGGCAGGGACAGGTAGAGATAATTGAATCATGGGGGCAGTTTCCCCCATACTGTTCTTGTAGTAGTGAATAAGTCTCACAAGATCTGATGGTTTCATAAATGGGAGTCCCCTTGGACAAGCTCTCTCCTGTCTGCCACCATGTAAGACATGGCTTTGCTCTTCCTTCATCTTCCATCACGATTGTGAAGCCTCCCCAGCCATGTGAAACTATGAGACCATTAAACATCTTTTCTTTATAAGTTACCCAGTCTCGAATATGTCTTTATTAGCAACATGAGACTGGACTAATACACCCAGAAATAATGCTTTATGAGCTATCTGGATATCCCTTAATACAGTCAAGTTGACACCTAAAATTTACCATCACGTCTTCATAAGACTTTGCTGCATTTACATGTCCTGAAACAAAAGCCAGCTCAGGTTCTTCTCTTGGCGAGGCTGGGCTCTTACACCCTAGCTGCACGGGAGTTGGAGAAGGCCCTGGCAATTTCATATTATGGAGTGGGTGGTAATTTTTGCTTCCTACAAAGAATCTTCAGTTGGGGAATTCCCCAAACAGAAAAAAAAACCAAACAGAGGAGCAAATAAAAATAGGTATATTTGTTCACTAGGGCTGTTATAAGAAAGTTATTTAAGTTTGGAAATGAAGGGCCCAAGGAGTTTGGAGATTGCCTAGAATGTATTAGAAAAATGTGCAGAAGGCACAGACTTGAGCATTGTTGCAGTAGTGAGCCAATCTGCATTGCAACATCACAGGCTGAGATGTAGTTTTTTTATTTAACAATATTTTTGTATTTAAGAATTTGAAAGTTTGGGTTTTTTTCTTCATATTCTGCTCCTCTCTGATAAGCACAGGTGGCATCTCTTAAGAGACTTTTAGGATGCCTCCTAAGACTTAGAGTACACGAGGTTGTCATTGACAGTGTGTATAAAATTGCGTCTGTCTTACCTTCTTCTAGGCAGGAAAACAATGACACAGCTGAAGTTTTCTCTAGGAAAGTCACTTGAACCATCCCTCTTAGTTATATAAACATTTATTTTCTTAAAATTTTCATATGACAAATATCTGAGTAGCCACACTCATTCATGCCTTCATTTCCTCAAAAGATTGAACTCTATCCAGTAAACGGAGATAGAAAAGGGCAGAGAAATTCCTCTTCTCATACAGTTATTTCAGTGGCATACAAAATTATGGTATTCAGAGTATGCCAAAAAGGGTATTCAGTGGCCTACCCTTTTTGGCATACAAAATTGACTCTGGAAGGTAGAAATCTTAATTTTCATAGAGAATCCAGGATCTCTCAGTAGGGTGGAAGTGGATGCTGCATTTCCTCTAACTTCAGTTGCATATCTATGAAATAAAATTGCTTTGTGGGAAGAAGTCAGTGACCTGGCTCAGTTAAAGGTGGTAAGAGTTCATTTCAAAGAGTTGGCTTCAAAAAAACATGCAGCTGATTGCAGGATTCTTCATGGAACAGAGGTGGTGATTCGAAGAAAATGGCTAAAGATGTATATGACTCTGAAAGGACAATAATTTGGCACCCAACTGTGCCTGAGCACAGGGATCTAGGCAGTCCTGAACAACGCAGCCCATGGATCTGCACAGAATGACTCTTCAACAGTGCCACCGTGAGGCCATGTGAAGCAATACCCCTGTTGTCCGTGAGATTTATTTATTTATTTTCTCCTTGCTGTTTAAAAGAGACTGGATTCCTTTTGAACTATAGATTGAAACCAATGGATCTTGAACCATTTTTCATGAGATAAAAATGAGACAGAAATTCCATAATTCTTACTAATAGAGCTTTTATTTATTAGTCAATTACTTGGAGGTGGTCCTGGTGATATATGCCAGTTCACGTCTCTCCTCTTTATGGAAAGGGTCTTATCACTGCTTCTTCCATAATAACAGTCCCCCAGTTTTATTCACAAACCAACCAAACAGACCTGTGCCCTTGAGAGGAGATGACTGAGAAGCTGAAAAGGTGAGTCATGCCTGTTCTAGCCAGTTTTGGCCCTTGTACCTGTGCTTGGTCTTGGAATGAGCCTTTCAGCCAGTTTGCACCTATGAGTCCGATGGGAGGTTTGCTGGGGCTTCTAGGAAAGGTGGATTCTTCATAACAGAACATTGTCAGAAATGTTTCCTTTTCTGCCTGCTCTGTCTCATCCTGCTTCAGATGAATATCATGTAAGGCCATGATACCTGAACCTGAAAGTTTAGAGGACTGGCTCACGGTGATGCCATGACCTGATATTACAGCACTGATAAATGACCTTAGCACTGCCCATCTCCACAGTTATTAATTTAAATTATTATTATTTGGGATTTCTGTCATTTTAGCACAAAATATTCCCCAAAGTGCAATTTTTCTTCATTACTAAAATAAAAATACTACACATTTTAACATAATTATTTTATATAAAAACTTTAAAATATATATTTAAGAAAAGCTTACCCAGTTATACCTTTAGATTGCATTGTGCACTTTTACTTGATAAGTATTGTCTTAAATGCAATTAAAGGATGGATTTTGAAATAAATGGTTTAACATCTGCCTCTTAATAGCAAATTTCACACGTAGGCAGGAACCAAGTCTCTCAGATACACCCCCTAATACATAATGGAGGGTCCGACAAAATAGTTGATACTCAAAATTATTTGTCAATTAAAAGCTGGATGCAACAAAGAAATGCCATTTCACACTTCTATTAAAGATTGAGCATTATTACCAAATTCCAGTGCAGTCACATGTAAGCTCAAAGGCAAGGGCACCTTCCCAGTGGACAAGAAGAAAAGGTAATTTTTGGAATCGAAATGCTTTCTCCAAACTTTTGATGCATAAGAAATAAATACTCAGTTCAGGCTAGGTAATCACTCATGTTTTATTGATTGTGTGTCTTCAGAGTAAAGAAAAAAAAATAAGTGTAAACAGCCTCTAAAGGAGAAACTTATCCAGGAGCTATTGATTTGCCTTAAGTGTCCTGGGGGCAGGGCTGATCCCTAAGCCAAGCAGCTCCATGCAGGATGCCCTCTCCTCTAAAGGCAGCAACCCCCTGTCACAAATTACATTGTTAAAATTTTCCAGTGAAGTCTTACAAAGGTTTTGTACTGAGTGGGCTAGTATTTTTTCAATCATAGATTAAGTCTTTTTAGTGTCCTGAAACACATTTGTTCTTCCAAGACTATCATTTGTCCAAAGATAGGTGGTGCAAGGTGATTTGGATGAGTTGAAACCCTCAATCTTGAATTTCATAGGGAGAGTTATAACTACTTGATTACAGGCTGAGGTTTCTTTGCCTTCAATTCCTCAAAGAGAGGACCCCACAAGCTCCACTCAGTGCAGAGAGGATCTCTTTTGGGAAGGAGAAGGCAAAATAGCACGTATTTAACACTGCCTGGGTTATGAACTTAGCTATACTCACTTAATATATGGATAGATATTTAATTTTCCCACTTTCCAAAATGACAAAAAAATAAAAACTTATAAGAGTTATATCACTTATCTACATTCGCCTGTATAGTAAGTGCTAGGTGGGATTGGTATTTGAACTCACGACAATTTAAATCCATGCCCCTTCCACGAAGAATGCCAATTACACTTCAGTTCATGTGTCAGGTCCCAAAAGAATGATTTCATTGCCCAGAGATGTGCTGAGATTTTTCTAAATATGCATCTAGGGTTAGAAGGAAAAGTGACAATATTGACTAGGAACATCTGCTGCAGGTCAGGAAGACTGAGTGGTTATGGTGTAATAAGAGCTACTTAATTGCTCTTCCTGTACTAAACCATAGTTGGTTCCCAAATGAACCAAATTTATCCATATCTGTTCTATTATTCTAGATTTAGTAACTTTTAAAATGTTCATTAATTTCAATAGATATCTTTTACTTTATCACACAGTGGGGGAAAAAAGGTGATAACATTTTTCTTCCATAGAATGCTCTCATTCTTTTCTGGAATTAAATATGTACCTCATATCAGGGAAATCAAAGCATCTCATTGACATAACCACAGTACTTTAGGAATAGTTACTGACCTAATGAGTAAATGAGAGATAAGACTTTTTGGGGCTATTGTGTAGAGGAAAAACATATTTTTAATAGGACTTGAACCTGAGAGGATACAGCCCTCCCAGATCCCATCTCAATTCCATGTGGAGCCTGACAATGAAGTTAACATGGATAAGGGAAGACTTAGGAGATGGAGACCAAATCCTGGTATCCTTGTGTGAGCCCCAATCCCAGCCTTGCCGGAATTCATTTCTTCCAATAAAGAGTTACATCAACAAATTATCTTGTGTACCTAAGCTGTTTGGAATTATATTTTCTATGTCACTCAAATATTTAGACAACCTGAAGAATTTGCATCCACAGGAGCTTTCTTGTACTCAGGATAGTGGCCACTTTGAGTATCTTTAATAGATGGAATCAGCATGTCTTTAACCATTTTCACACCTTCATTCACTCACCAAACATTTACCTAGTAAGTACCATGGAGCAGGGACTACCCAAATCACTAGGAGCATAGAGCTAATTCGACAGGAACCCTGCCTCTAGGTCTTAGAATGCCAATGGATGGAGCAAATGTGCATAGAAACAACTTCAGTTCAAGACTTTATGGGACTGATTGTTGTTACATTTTAAAAATGGGGGGTTTCTCTGATCTGAGCTAATCAAATAAACATCAGACACGGAATTCAGGCTTTGAAGGATGGATAGAAATTTGGAAGAAAGAAATGATGGGTAAAATGGAGCATGCAAAGGGAATAATGACAGGAAATGTAGATGATAAACCACAGGTCAAATCCAAGACATGGTAGGTGTTCCAGATTCAGTAGCACTGGAGTGGTGCCCTTGAGTGGTAAGGTGAGACACTCCCTTGAAGAGAGAAAAATAAGTAGCATAAATTTTGAGAGAATAATCCATCTGGGGTTTGAATAGTAAAGGAAGGGGGTCAGGGGACCCAGTGATAGTCTAAAGTATAAGGAGCAAGGAGACTGGAAGAGACGAGAACAGTTAAGGTGAAATCAGTTAATTCTTGACTGGATCATGGATCCATTAAAAGCTGCTACACCAAACAATTAGGGGACTATTGGAGAAATTTAAATGTGGACCAGGTGAAATGAATAATTTGCTAATTTTGTTAAACATCAAAATAGTGTTAGCTGATACAGGAGATTCCTTATTTTTTGGAGATGTGTGATAAGGTATTTAGAGTAGAAGTATCATGCTGTTTGTAATTTTTCTTGAAATGGTTCCAAAATAAATAAAGGAAATATGGCAAAGTCTGAATCTTCATTGAATTTGGGCAGTGCATGCAGTTTTGTTATAGTTTCCTTTAAATTTCTCTGTATGTTTGAAAGTGTTTTTTAAAAATCAGAGAAGTTAATAAAAGGGCAACTGCAACTCATATATTGGATACTGGGAGTAGACAGACAAAGGGAGCTCTCCTAAGAGATGAAACATGCTCGGAAAGTCCATTTTCTTTCCTACACGAGCTTCTCTGGAACATTTGCCTTGGCAGCAACAATTTTCTTCCCGATAGTCATTGTTTTTTCTTTATGGCTAAATTGCTTTTGTCCAGACAGTAATTTGCCCAGCCCCAGAGACTGAGTCATGGTTGGTCTGCTGCAGCCCTGACTTCCCATTCCTCTTTGCCAAATGCTTTTCCTGCCTCCCTTAGAACCAAAGGTGAACAGTGATGCAATACTGGCTTATGAGGCCTAAGGGGATCTTCTGGAACCACGATGCTCAGAGTGCTTTTTAAGGACCAGGAGCTTCAATGCCACCTCTGAGGTTGGGGGAAAAACACAGCATTGATCCCCACCACAGACCTACTAAATGTCTAAAGAATACAATAAACAGGAGTAGACATGATTGTTTTATCACTCAGTTTGTCAACAGATTTGATGTTGCTTGGTCCTGTCACTGACCTGTGTAGCTAATAAAGAATCAGCCCATGTCTGTGCACAAGAAACACGTCGAATGTGCTATATTGAGGCTCTCTTACTATAGAAAAAATGCTGGTGTCATAGGAAATTTGGTCATGCAACACATGATTCCTAAGCATTTGAATTGACTACAATCTGTGACAATTTTGTGACATCCTGTCCACTCATTCGTGACATTTAAAGTGATTCAAAAAGTACTTAATACGAATTCAAATATATATATTAATATACATTAAAATATGTATTTGTATATTAAAGTATATATTTAAATATACATGTATACTTAATATATATTTAATATATATATTTAAATTATTAAGCACTTACATATGTATTGCATTCCTTTAATGAGAGACACCTTGAAATGTTTCAAAGCAAGGTTTTGGAATCTCTGCTTTAAGGTGCTTCTCCTTAAAAGGCACAAGGTTGGATCTTAGCTGAAGTTGAAGACTCTCAGAGGTTGTCGTTTCCTGTATCTACCACGCAGGAACTACCCCACAGGAGCTCTGTGTCTGAATTCTAGGCCCTTCTTAGCATTTCCTATCTATTGGGACTGAGTTTACTTTCCTTCAGACCTCAGGCTGCTCACCTGCCATGAGGATGTTGTATTTATATGATCAGGCAGACTGGTGGCTACCCAGAAACAAAAACTCAACCATCATTGTGCCTAGGATGCCTCCTGAAATCTCTTCCAGCAGCAATCAAGACTAGGAAAAACCATCTGTATGTGGAAGGCACACAACTCCATCCACAAATTCAGATAATCAAGACATATAATTTTATCTTGCTTTATTCTGCAATTCTACTTAAGCTCTATTTTTAACCTCCTCTCATCTCTCAGGAATGTTGACCTTACTCAATTTATGAGGGCTTGAGCAAGATTAACTTCCCTGTGGTGGGGGTTACAGTAATGCACACCCTAGAGTTGATGCAATGGGTGAATGAGTCAATACAAAGCATTTGCAAGAGTGCCTAGTACTTGTGATTGCCATTGTCATAATGATTTAGGGTTGCCACTGCGTCTCTCCAAAGTTGTATCTCTGTTCAAATGACTTAGACAGTATCATGGCCTACATGGTATCTTTGGACTATGCAGCCCTCTGCAGAGACATCCTTTATCCTATCTTGTACTAGGTAACTGGGTCACACAGGTTGCTGCTGTATCAACTCTTGTTCCCTTCTGAGAGGCTCCTCATGCCCAGAAATTATCCTTCTTCATCTTAGTACCTCCCAAGGCTACAAGAGTTTGTTTGGTGCTATGCTGGTCTATAGGAATTTTTATTATTGTATTCTTTAGAGTATGAATCACTCTTATTCCAGATACCTTCTGTTGCCGGTCATGGGGTCATGGAAAAACTGAAAATGTTTTACAGCTCACAGTACTTTTTCTAAAACAAAGACAGTGACCCTCGAGTTGTGTGCCAGATATTCTCCACTGGCAACACTTCAATACTCTTCACCATTTTCCCTCCCACTCTGTACCCTTGAGGGCTAACAATATGGTTTGGCACCATTAATTAGATTCTTTGCCCTCCAACATCCGGTTAGATTGGAAAGTGAGAGTTAATTGCAAGAAATCAGAGAATGAGAGGAGAGGAAATCCAGGTCTTTGGTTCCCTGAATCCACTCCGGTGAGAATGGCCCCAATGCCCTTCAATCAAAGACATGCCAGGACACACTTGTAGCTTAGCAAAGTTGGGTTAATTGCCTTGTGGCAACAAGAGAGGATGAGCACCATGGGAACCATTACGTGTCTCAAGAAGGGTGTATTAGAAACAAGTTGTTCTAGGATTTGGGCCTCCTTCTTTCAGATGATTTTTGGGTAGGTTCCGTGAAGTGAGGCTTTGAATAAAATACTTTCTGAAAGCAAAGTGGTTTGACATCGCCTAACCACTTTTGTGTAAAGTCAGAGTATCTGCTAAGCAGCCCTCATCAGGTTTCTTTAACATATAGGTAGCTGGGTTACCTTTTTTTTTATTAGTAGTAATTTTTTTTTTTTTTTTGATACAGACTTCCACTCGGTCTCCTAGGCTGGAGTGCAGTGACATGATCTTGGCTCACTGCAACCTCTGCCTCCTGAGTTCAAGCAATTCTCCTGTCTCTGCCTCCTGAGTAGCTGGGATTACAGGCACATGCCACTATGCCTGGCTAATTTTTGTATTTTTAGTAGAGATGGGGTTTTGACATGTTGGCCAGGCTTGTCACTCCAAGCCTCAAGTTATCCACCTGCCTCAGCTTCGCGTGGTGCTTGGATTATAGGCATAAACCACTGCACACAGCCAAAATAACCTATTTTATAATGTTTCAGCCTGCCCTCAGTCCAGAGAGTGGAAAGATGGAGAAATCTTCAATATTCTTGAACATATAACCAAGTCCACTTTATCTCCACCTAGAACCCAATCATTCATTGCAGGGAAGTTTCCTGATTTTTCTCTGCATGTCCTTGATTTCCTTTAGTGAAGGGAGACACCATTAAAGTTCATTATGTTTGTCAATGTAGTATTTTATGAATGCAGCCCTTGAAATGTGACCAGATCCAAACCAATCAGATTTGCCACTGTGCTGCCTTTCACAGCAGGGAAAGCTTTATGTTGGACAGAATTTTGTTTTCTTCTTTCCTGTCCTCTTTGAAAGTGCCTATTGCCCTGAATGAATGGTAAGTGGTAAATACTTCTGCCTCTCAGCTTTTTATTCTTATTTCCTTATAATTTTTATGGAAGAATTAGTGAGAAGCAGAAAAAACAAGAAAGTATCTTTCAATAAAAGTTTACTTCTCACTGAGGAGATGGCTGATTAGATTTTATCTTCAATAAAGCCTGGTGAACTTAATTTGGCAGGTGTCTTACCTCTACACATGTTGTGTTATCCAAATAAAGCTTTCTAAACCTGACTGGTAAAAAATAATGACCTGATGATGTTGGTAAATGTAAAGATGCCAGGCTTCTCACTGGGAGAGTCATATAAGTCCAGGGTGGTACCCAGGAATAAGTACTTTTAATAAGTGCCCAATGTGACTCAGAAAACCAGGTAGGTTTGAGCAATTTGGGTAAAAGCAAATTTTTGGCTAGGCATGATGGCTCATGCCTGCAATCCCAGCACTTTGGGAGGAACGCTTGAGCCCAGGAGTTGGAGACCATCCTGGACAACACGGGGAGACTCTGTCTCTATAAAAAATACAAAAATTAGCCGGGTGTGATGGTGCATTCCTGTGGTCCTAGCTAGGCGGAAGGCTGAAGTGGGAGGTAGGCATGAACCCTGGGAGGTCAGGGTGCAGTGACCCTTAATTGTACCACTGTGCTCTATTTAGCCTGGGTGATGGAGAAGACCCTGGGGAAAAAAAAAAAAGGCAAACTTTCTGGTTAAAAAGAATGCAATGAAAGAATTCAGGTCCTGGAGCTGGGAAGGCAGGAGGCTGGGTTGGACTCCCAGCCACCTACAGCTGCATGGGTGTGGGCAGTTACTTTACCTCTCTGGGTCTAGTTTTCTCTTCTATCAAATTCAGATGCTAACAGCCCTGCTCATGTGGAGCTTCCCATCCAGTGGGAGTCAGTAGCTGATGCTAAAGGGGTGCAGGGTCTCACACTGAGGAGAGGGTCAGCACAGAGCAGGGCCCACTCTAGTGAGAATGGCACCAATACCCTTCAATGAAAGACATGCAGGGACAAACTTGTAGCTTAGCAAAGTTGGGTTAATTGCCTTGTGGCAACAAGACAGGGTGAGCACCATGGGAACCATTAGGTGACTCAAGAAGACTGTATTAGAAACAGGTCATTCTAGGATTTGGGCTTTCTTCTTTCAGATGATTTTTGGGTAGGTTCCGTGAAGTGAGGCTTTGAATAAAATGCTTTCTGAAAGCAAGGTTAATTCTACAACTGGACATGTTCATATGTCTATCTAAAAGGCAGAAATGCCAGATCAAAGGTAAGCCTATAATTAAGAAAAAACTGTATTCACTCATATCATTCAGGAAAATAAAGGGATGTTTGGTTGTTTTTGTAGGTTCTTTACTATCCTTATATTTTTGAGAATTCAGACATGATTTTAAAGTGGTCTAGTTATCATCTTAGTCTATCGGAATCACAGAGTGGCTCTGCTTGATATTAGTTTACTGGGAAATTATTTTTTAGTGTTTTATAGACATAATATGTGTTCATATTTATGGGGTACATGTGATATTTTGTTAAATGTAATGATCAAGTCAGGATATCTGGGGTCTCCATCATTTCAAATATGTATTGTTTCTATGTGTTGGGAACATTTCAAGTTTTCTTTTCTAGCTATTTTAAAATATGCAATATAGTGTTGTTAAATATTGTCACCTTATTCTGCTATCAAACATTAGAACTTATTCCTTCTAACTGCATGTTTATGTCCCCCCAAAAACCCTTCCCAGCCTCTGGCTACCAGCATTCTACTCTCCACCTCCATAAAATCAACTTTTCTTTGCTCCAACGTATGAGTGAGAACATGCAATATTTGTCTTTCTGTCCCCAACTTATTTTACTTAATTTCCTCTAGTTCCATCCATGTTGTTGCAAATAGCAGGATTTCATCCTTTTCAGAGGTTGAATAATACTCCATTGTGTAATGTACCACATTTTCTTTATTTATTCATCCACTGATAGACACTTAGGTTGATTCCAAATCTTAGAATAGTGTAAATACTGTGAATAGTGCTAAAATAAACATGGAAGTGCAGCTATCTCTGGAATATATGAATTTCCTCTCTTTTATAGATATACCCAGGAGTGGGATTCCTGGATCATGTAGTAGTTCTATTATTAGTTTTTTGAGGAACCTTCATACTCTTCTCCATAGTGGTTGTATTAATTTCCATTCTCAACAACACTGTATATCCTCACCAGAACTTATTACCTTTTGGATAAAAGCCATTTCAACTGGAGTGAGATGATATCTCACTACAGCGGTGATTTGCATTTCTCGATCATAAGTGATGAGGATTTTTTTATACACCTGTTGGCCATTTGTATGTCTTCTTGGAGAAGTCTCTTCAGATCTTTTGCCCATTTTTAGTTGGATTATTAGAGTTTTTCCTATAGAGTTGTTTGAGCACTTTCTATAATCTGTTTATTAATATCTTGTCAGATGAGTGGGTCACAAATATTTTTCTCTTATTCTGTGGGTTGTCTCTTCACTTTGTTATTGTCTTTTTTTGTTTTGTTTTGTTTTGTTTGTTTGTTTTGCTGTGCAGAAGGTTTTTAGCTTAATTTAATTCCATTTGTTCATTTTTGCTTTAGTTGCCTGTGTGTGGGGGCTATTATTCAAGAAATCCTTGCCAAGACCAATGTCCTAGAGAGTTTCCCAATATTTTCTTGTAGTAGTTTCATAGATCCAGGTCTTAGATTTAATTCTTTTACTCCATTTTAAATTTATTTTTGTATATGGGCAGAGATAGGGGTCTAGTTTCATTCTTCTGCATATGGATGTCCAGTTTTCCCAGCACTATTTATCAAAGAGACTGTCCTTTTCCCAAAGTATGTTCTTAGCACCTTTGTCAAAAATAAGTTCACTGTAAATGTGTGTATTTATTTCTGGGATCTCTATTATTCTGTTCTATTAGTCTATGTATCTGTTTTTATGGAAGTACCATGCTGTTTTAGTTACTATAGCTTTATAGTATAGATAGATAGATACATAATTTATTTTTTATTTTTTTATTTTTTTGAGACAGAGTTTGTCTCTGTCACCTAGACTGGAGTGCAGTGGCATGATCTCAACTCACTGCAACATCCGCCTCCTGGATTACAGTGATTCTTGTGCTTCAGCCTCCCCAGTAGCTGGGATTACAGGCATGCTCCACTACACCTGGCTAATTTTTGTGTTTTTTATAGAGATGGGGTTTTGCCATGTTGCCCACGCTGGTATTGAACTGCTGGGCTCAAGCTATCCCACCCACCTTGGCCTCCCAAAGTGCTGGGATTACAGGCACAAGACACCGTACCTGGCCAGCTTTGTGGTATAATTTGAAGTGAAGAAATGTGATGCCTTCTCCTTTATTCTTTTTGCTCATGTGTGCTTTGGTTATTCTGGGTATTTTGTAGATCCATTAAAATTTTAAGATTTTAAATAAAAAATTTCTTTAAAATTTTGGTATTTTGATAGAGATTGCATTGAATCTGTAGATTGTTTTGGGTAGTATAGATATTTTAACAATATTACTTTTTTCAATCCATGAACATGAAATATTTTTTGTTTTTTTATGTCTTCTTCAATTACTTTCATCAATGTTGTATAGTTTTCATTGTAGAGATTGTTTAGTTCTCCAGTCACATTTATTGCTAAATATTTTTTATATTTGTAACTATTGTAAATGGGATTCCTTTCTTGATTTCTTTTTCAGATTGTTCACTGTGGGCATATAGAAATGCTACTGATTTGTTGTATGTTGATTTTATATTCTAATTCTTTACTGAGTTGGTTTATCAGTACTAACAGTTTTTTTGGTGGAGTCTTTAGATTTTTTAAAATATAAGATTGTATCATCTGCAAACATAGACAGTTTGACTTCTTCCTTCCCAAATTGGATGCCCTTTATTTCTTTCTCTTGTTTAGTTGCTCTGGTTAAGACTCCTAGGACTATGTTGAAAACAAGTGGTGAAAGTGGGCATCCTTGTCATGTTCCATATCTTAGTGAAAGAGCTGTCAGTTTTTCCCTGTTTATTATGATACTAGCAGTGGTTTTGTTGTATACGACTTTTATAATATTGAGGTATGTTCCCTTTATTCCCAGTGTTGTGAGAGTTTTTATCATGAAGAGATGGTATATTTTATCAAATGCTTTTTCTGCATTTATTGAAATGAACTTGTGTTTTTTGTCTGTTACTGTTATGATGTATCACATTTATTGATTTTCATATGTTAAAACATTCTTGCATGAATCCCATTTAATCATGATGAATGACCTCTTTAATATGTTATTAAATTAAGTTTGTTAGTATTTCTTTGAGGATTTTTGCATCTGTGTTCATTACGGATTTTGGCCTGTAATTTTCTTTTGGTGTCTTTGTATGGTTTTGGTATCAGGGTAATACTGGCCTCATAGAATTTGTTTGAAAGTATTCACTACTCTTTGATTTTTTTTTGGAATAATTTAAGTAGGATTGACATCCATTCCTCTTTAAATGTTTGGTAGAATTCAGCAGGTGCTGTTTGATGGGAGACTTTTTACTACTGCTTCTATCTTGTTATTGGTCTATTCAGGTTTTAGATTTCTTCATGGTTCTGTCTTGGTAGGTTGTATGTGTCTAGGACTTTATCCATTTCTTCTATATTTTCCAGTTTGTTGGTGTATAGTTGCTAATAATAGGTTCTAATGAACCTTTGGATTTATGTGGTGTTAGTTATAATGTTCTCTTTTTCATCCTAATTTTATTTATTTGGGTATTCTCTCCTTTTTCCTTAGTCTGGCTGAAGGTTTGTCAATTTTGTTTATCTTTTCAAAAAGCCGACTTTTTGTTTCATTGATCTTTTGTATTTTTTTAGTCTCAAATCCATTTGTCTCATCCCTGATCTTTATTTTTTGTTTCTCCAACTAATTTTGGGTTTGGTTTGCCCTTGTTTTTCTAATTCTTTGAGATGCATCATTCTGTTGTTTATTTGAAGTTTTTCTACTTTTTTGAGGAAGGCACTTATTGTCTTTCATTCTTTTCCTTTTGCCTGAGGAAAATCTGGGGGCCAATCTTGCTGTCAGCTGAGACTTCCCTGGGTATCCAACTTCAAGTCTAGATTATGTGCTTACATAATTATAATGACCAGAAGATCTACATTGTGTTCAGCAGCAGCAACATGTAGGCACTCTCCTAAGTGCTTTGCATGAGTTAAATTATATAATACAGCAACCCTCTTTCCCTGTCTCTGTCTCTCCCTCTCTCTCTACACACACACACACACACATACACACACATGCATATATATAGGCTTGTAAATATATGTCTGTATATGTGTGTATATGCATATCACACATATATGTTCAACAAATATATATATATATATATATATATATATATATATATATATATGCACACATCCCATTTTTCTGATAAAGCAACGAAAGCAAGAGAGGCAGGCCAGTGTCACGCAAGTGGTTAATGACAGTTGACCTTTGTCATTTGGACCTTTGTCATTAGAACTTTGTCAACAGACCTTTGTCAACAGACCTTTGTCATTTGGACCAGACCACCATCCTCTAGTTCCCACTCTCTCCACCATGTCTCACTGCCTTTCATCTTTTGATTACTTACCTATGCCAGTTAGTTTCCTAACCAGCTTTTTAGGTGATCCCCATGAGCACCCTGTGAGGTTGGTGCTACCATTACCCATCATACAGATGAAGGAACTGAGAGGCTCAGAGACTAGTATCCTGACCATCCATGTGAAATGCAGATCCTCCTTCAGGAAATCTCGAGCTCAAGAAAAGGTGTTCTTCCTAATTTAATTCTATGTTCTTGACAATAAAAGCTAAACAGGAATGAGTGCAGCTCAAAGGCAGACCTGAGATAAAACAACAGAAAAAAAGCACCACTGGTTCACTTATTTTATGTCCTTCTCAAAGAGCAAAAGAGGTTTCTTCCTCTTTCCTTCCTAAGTACCTTCCCATTTAGGCTGCAATTTCTCTGTGCATCCCTTGTTTTCTCTGAGAAAGAGGGACACACTCAAGCATAACAAAGTGTCCCAGAATGTAATATTGAATTGGCCATAATTGGACACTTACTCTCTATTTACTCTCTATGAGTCACAAGGCCAGAACAATTCCCTTTGTCCTTTGGAAAACCTCCTTGTTTGGTGGAGATGCTCTTCACACTGAACAGCTGTTCAGGCTTGTCATGGTGCAAAAATAGCAAATGACACACTGAGCCCTACTTGTTACCCATACTGGGTCTGCTGCTGCTACTGTATTTAGAAGAGGCAGGGACCTTATAAACAACATGAAGGAGTTTTAGAAGCTATCTTTCCTGTAAAGACAAGAAGAGCCCTGCAAACTAGCTCAATACTAAGCAAAATTTCCTAGTCTCCCCTTTTTACCTTTATTTATCCTAATTTTCTTTTTTTTCCCTTAGTTTCAGAGGGTGAGGGGCCAAAGGAGAAAGCAGCAATAGAGAGGGAAGGGGTACCCAAGGTAGCTACTCTATGTGGTTGAGGGGTCAGGACAAGAGTGTAGTTTTGAGTCCTGGACTGTGAGACATGTGTTCACCTAGGTTTGGGGATAGGGTTGAGAGACTTGAGGGTTGGGCCACTCTCAAAGCCCATAAATTTAGTGGAAAATAGGAAATCCTCAAACAGGGACTTTATTTTAAAAAAAGGGGAGCAAGTGGAGAAAGAGGAGGAGAACAAAAATACAAGAGACAAAATATACTGTACAAATATGTGATAATGTTGCAAAATAAGGATTTAAACACTGGTCTGTTCATTTATTTATTTATGTATTCTCCATTTGATAAATATTTCTGCCAATTCATGTCCACTGAGAAGCAGATGCCAAGATGACATTATACACATGAAAGGTCTATTAGGAGAAATGCTTGTGAAGGATGAAGAGAAGAGTAGACAGGGACATGCAAGGAGAGCCTTTAGACCATGAGGCAGGTTGGATGCCAGCAAGTGGAGAGAGGGAAGAAAGACTCACACTCACACTGTTGCAGATCTCTAAGAAATCCAGCGAGGCACATAAGGAGTCCACAGGCAAAAATGCCCAGTGGGAGGTGCACGTTGGGCAGAAATGTCCTGGCTCTACTACCCCACTGCAACTTTTGGTTAGTGTTTGGAAATACCTTGTGTGGGAAGATGGAGATCTATGGTATTTGAAGCAGATTTTTGTGAAGGGAGATGTGAGCACTGGAATCTAAGGCTGCCAGCATCCACCCCTTCGGCTGCACAGGTCTTCTACATGTGATCAGGAAGCAGTTACTCAATGTGCCCCATGGGCCTTATTCACTGAAGGGAAGATTAGAAGAGCGAGTATATGGAACACACTACAGACTTGGTTGCTGCAGTTGATCTTAGCACCACGTGAGGTTCCTACCATCTCTCTCCTCCAGTATAAATGACAAATTCTTCCACTCTCATGGATTTTCCGTGAAGATCTTGCTGGCGGACTTGATACTGCGGCCTAACCTTCATCCCTGATGGGTCTGACCTGCTGGTAATCATACTCTTCTCAGTCAGGAGTTGCTATACATGTTCACTCACAGTTATAATTAGACAAAGGAATATAAGAAGGTACCAAAGTGGATCACTTGAGGTCCATGCATATTCTTCTCATTCTTCTCTTGCCCCCATTGTGTAAGAGCATTTTCAGCTCCTTTCAATCAGGGTCAGTTATGCCTGCCATCATGGTGACCCCTTATCTGTTGACATCTTCACAAGGGATCCAAAGTGCCCAGGTGCCTGCCATAACCTGTAGCTCAAGGGGAACCTTGCTTTTCCCATGGACAGAGTGCATACATTCAGGGACAGGACCCCACGTTCGGGGACAGGACCCCTAGCCGTGCAGAACTCAGAATGGCAGGAATGAGAGACAAACATTCTCCCAATGGCCCATTGGGAAGATGGTAAATAGAGCCATTGTTTTATTACTCTGATTTTATGGATCAATTTAGTCTTCCCTTAGCTACACAACACCATATAGAGGTCTCTGATTTAATGCGTATACTACATTCTAAAAAATGGTAATCTATCCTCACAGAGTATTACCCCAACCTGGTATTTCAACCACGCCATTAGTAAGTAATTCCAATTCTCTCAAGCTGGCTCCTTCCAGGCAATGCAATGTGTTGTATTGCTGATAGATCTTACGTTTATGGGCCCTTTCATGAACCTCCTTGTTATGAAGTGGGTTCCTGTTGGATGCTATGCTGTATGAAATTTCATGCTTGTGGATCAAGCCACCTATAAGCACACAGATAATGGTACTGGCTGAGGCTCCCCCAGCAGGAAAGCAAATCTGTCTATGAAATATATATCTAAGGCTGTGATTAATCACTGGGTTTTCCAGGATGGAAGGGATCCAATTTAATCGGCTTAGAAAAAAGTGGCTGTTCTCCTTGGGACTAGTGTCATAATTGAAACTCAATTTTGATCTCTCTTGCAAGCAGATTGGGTATTTCGAGATGCAATGAGAATGAACTTTATGAGTTAAAGTCCATGTTATTGGGCCCATCTATACATTCCACCTTTGCCACCATGAAGGCTACATCAGTGTGTCCACCATGCTAGTTCTGGAGTAGATAATGACAAAGGTTGGCTCATGTGAACTGGCAGGATCATTTTGTCTCCTGGATTGTTGATTTCTTCTTCAATCATAGATTACTTATAGTGACATAAATGTATGAAACAGCTTCATGGTTTATGCCAACTCCGTTATGCCCATCCATGTGCCTCTTTCCCAGATGTTTTTGTCTCAGACTTTCCAGTCTTTTCCTTACAGGATTCTGACCAGCCACCTAGGTCTTTGACCACTGCTCAGGAATCCACAACTATTCTCATCTCAGGATTCTACTTTCATACAAAGAGGATGGCCAGGTACACTTATTCCAGTTCTAACAATGAAGATTTCCCCTCACCACTGCCTTTCAGCCCCACCACTGAGTATATGTGTAATGCAGCCCCCATCCATTTTTTAGTTGTACCCACATACCTAGCTGAAAACCAAGATCTGGGAGTGAGCTGATGGAATGATTCTTGTGTAACCATGGCAGGTGACATGCATGGCTAGGTTACTTGATCATACAGTGTACTCAGTCCCTCTGGTGTTGTTCTGGCGTAATCTCATATATGGCATTTCCATTTTATAATGGATTCTGTGGTCCTGCCTGACCCAGGAAAAGAGGGTCTAATAAAACATAGCTCATAACTAACAGTTCCAGATGCATGGTCTTTTGGTGCCCTCTTGGTCCATCTCTGTTTCATCTCTACTGGAGCAGAGTAATATGCCAGGATTGGACTCACACAAGAAAAGCACATACATTTCTGCTACAGATGATATGGCCTGGCTGTAGAACTTCATGGCTTTGCTTTAAAACTCCCATTGTGATTTGCCATAAACTCCACAATGCATATGTGTGTGTGTGTGTGTGTGTGTGTGTGTGTGTGTATACACCCCTGACATCTCTAACATCGTAATGACTGTAGTGACTGATAGATCATATGGCCCAAGTGGCAAGGCTGTCTACAATAGAGCTTGCATCTGCTGCAGAGCTTTTTCCTGACCAAAGCAAGTCAGCTTCTGTGTCTTAAAATATATGGTTCTCAGCAGTATTTTTGTGTGTGGAATGTGCTGCCTCCAGAACCTGGAGCGTCCCACCAGATATTATGTTTACTTCATTGTTGCAGGGGATGCAAGGTGCAGCAATTTGTCTTTTAATGTGGAGTTCCTGTATACCCTGAATACTGGACACCTGAAAACATACTGAAATGGCAAGTCCCAGAATTTCTTATTTTTTTCACGTATGTGTCTTATTAAAGACTTCTGCAAACTAATCACCTGTTGCTTGCCCTGACCAATAAGCATGATGTCATCAGCATAATGAAACAACATGCTATTTTTCAGGATGTCTAGGTGGTCCATATATCTTTAGAATACATCATGAGTAAGGATGGGAACATTAGCATAATACTGGAGCAAAGATGTAAAGAAATGCATGCCATTTGTATATGAATTGTGTCTGACTCTCCTGGGATTAAAATATAAATTGTTGGCCAAATAAGTAGACACATACTATGGACCTGAGGCTTTAATAATTTGTTCTAATAACAATAGCCCATCTGAGATAGCGACTGTGAACAGGGCTACTGCTTGACGGAAGTTGAGATAGTGTAAAGTCACAGGCCAAGCTTCATCTGCTTTTTGGAGGGGCTAAACTGGTGAAATAAACAAAAATATGATTGTGGCCATGATCCCCGCACTGACTGATCTTTAATTGTGGAGTGAATCTCTGCTAGCCCTCTCCTCAGGATGTAATATTGTTTTGGTTTTACAACTTTGACTGGGTGGGGGTAGTTAAAGTGACTTGTATTTAGCCTTTCCCACTATGACAGTTCTGACCTCACAGGACAAATATCCCATGTGCAGGTAATTCTAACTGTGGAACATGTCCATCCAAATTAGACACCTAGGGACTGAGGAAGTAACTGCAAATTGGTCCACAGGCCACAATTATTTTTGCTTTCTCAAATATAAAGCCCAGAAATTGCTGAGCTATTTTCTACAATTCTTCCCCTTCTTCCTGAAGACTGAGGGTGATTCTTTCCTGATCTGAGTGGTTTGAGTTCAAGAGCTGGTGTTTCTCATTCAGCATTTGGGATCAGGTGATAGAAAAATTTTCATAGGAGCCAATAGCCAAGAAATATTGGAGGATATATTCTTATTATTTATCCAAGGAAAAATAGTGAGCACAAAGTGAAATTCAATTACCCTCCATGCCTAGTGAAATCTAGTTCAGCCTCTGCCTGCAGTTAATCATATCACAAGTGCTTGTCTTTATTTGGAATATAAAGTAGGACACAGTTCCCACTTTCTCAATTATTTCTCATTAAAGGTGGAAGAATCTTTGGAATTTCTTTCTTCTGAACAATTTTTTCTTAGAGGAAAGAGGAAATACCACACAACTCTGCCCAGGTTTCAGACCCCATTTGGGGATTCTCCTGAGAACAAAAGCGCGTCATCTTGAGTTCACTCAACCACTCTGAGTCGATTATTCTCAACCTGCTCAGGAATGTTTAAATGCCCTCTTCCCACCAGCATTATTTCAGTCTAGGCTTATGAACATTCTGTCTTTGGTTATGCACTCTATTATAGCTGCTGCATATTAAGCACCAAACACAGTACAGGACATTTGGATTTTAAATTTTCATTGAGCCAGACCCCCCTCTTCATTTGTGAATTTAAGAGTCAAACATTCATTGAGTTCCTACCTTTTGCAGCTCAGCAATCTCTCCAATGTAAAGCCCTGAGCCTCCCTTTACTAAATAGCTGAACCCCTGATGATATGTTAGGCACTGTCCTAGGTGCTGAATATCCAGTGGAGAACTATACCAAACCTAGACCATCCAGTCATGGTGGTTACATCCTACCAGAGAAGAAACACGTTAACCAAACAAGCACAAACCTATTAAATTACACACTGAAACATGCACCATAGATAAAATGCACAGGGAACTACAAGAGGACAGGCAGGGGTCCTGACCTCTCTAGGACTGCAGTGAGGACAGAATGTACGAGTACCTTTTGAGCAATAAGCTCTATATAAGTATCAGCCAATTGCATTCTCACACAGCTATTAAGAGGCAGGTCCTGGACTTGACACAGGTTCTCTGGCTTAATCCCCAGACTCTCATCCACCACCCTAAACTCTTTCTGTCTCCTAACCTTTGGATGTACCAGCTCTGTCTCCTGAGGTGGCTATTCTATCAGGGCTAAAGCAGTGGCACTGGAACTTTTGGGGAAAATTTTCTTCAATACAAGCATGCAAACGGGAAAGAACTGATGGTCCTCTGCTGAAAGGGAGACTGAAATACAAGCCTTCCCACTTAATTTTCAAATTTCCAGCAGTATTGTTGCAGTAATTTGGAGTCATTCTGTAGCAGAGATATTTTAATTTTTTCCTTTCCAATGACTCTTTACATTTCTATGGCCATACTGTCCTTGATAACATAAAAAAAATTTAAATTATGGCATTTGTTCAATGTTGAGTTCTTGTTTTGTTTTGTTCCTTTTAAATTTATCTTTCTTGTAAGTCAAAGAATCATTGAATTCATTTCTATTACCATGTTTGCTGTTTGAATGAAGTTATTTAATTGGTACCAAAAGAAATGTGGGTGTGTTGCTATCCACTTATGAAAGAACTTCACAAATGAACTTCCCCAATCTGTATCAGGCAGAAGCTACACCAGAAATGCAGCTCTGCTTGTTAAGAAGAATAATCTTACCAGATTCTCATTATTAGTGCTCAGCTCTGGGTCCTACCAATTAAACATTTCTAAAGTTGTGGGATAAGAAGGATTGGCCCCAGTGTCCCCTGCTCTTTGAAAATACAGTGGATCTGAGTGGGGCTGGGTGGGAGGCTTGTATTAGTCCATTTTCACACTGCTATAAAGGAATATCCCAACTTCATAATTTATAAAGGAAAGAGGTTTAATTGACTCACAGTTCCACGTTGCTGAGGATGCCTCAGGAAACTTGCAATCATGGCAGAAGGCAAAGGGGAAGCAGGCACCTTCTTCACAAGGCAGCAGGAAAGAGAGAGGGTGAAGGAGGAACTTCCAAACACTTATAGAACCATCAGGTCTCGTGAGAACTCACTCACTATCATGAGAACTGCATGGGGGAAACCACCCCCATGATCCAATTACCTCCCATCAGGTCCCTCCTTTGACACATGGGGATTACAATTTGAGATGAGACTTGGGTAGGGACACAGAGCCAAACCATATCATTCTGCCCCTGGCCCCTCCCAAATCTCCTGTCCTTTTTACATTTCAAAACCAATCATGCCTTCCCAACAGTCCCTGAAAGTCTTAATTCATTTCAGCATTAAATCAAAAGTCAAAGTCCAAAGTCTCATCTGAGACAAGGCATGACCCTTCTGCCTATATGCCTGTAAAATCAAAACCGAGTTAGTTACTTCCAAGATACAATGGGGGTACAGGCATTGGATAAATGCTCCCATTCCAAATGGGAGAAATTGGCCAAAACAAAAGGGCTACAGGCCCCATGAAAGTCAGAAACCCAGCAGGGCAGTCATTCAATCTTAAAGCTCCAAAATGATATCCTTTGACTCCATGTCTCACACCCGGAGCACACTGACGCAAGGGGTGGCTCCCATAGCTTTGGGCAGCTCCTTCACAGGCTGGTATTGAATGACTTTTCCAGGTGCACAGTGCAATCTGTCAGTGCATCTACCATTCTGGGGTCTGGAGGACAGTGGCTGTCTTCTCACAGCTCCATTAGGCAGTGCCCCAGTGAGGATTCTGTGTTGGGGCTCCAACCCCACATTTCCCTTTTGTACTGCCTTAGCAGAGGTTCTCCATGAGTACTCCACCTCTGAAGCAGACTTCTGCCTGGACATCCAGGCATTTCCATACATCCTCTGAAATCTAGGCAAAGGTTTCTAAAGCGCACCCCTTGTCTTCTGTGCACCCACAGGCCCAACACCAGGTGGAAGCTGCCAAGGCTTGGGGCTTGCATCCTCTGAAGCAATGGCCCAAGCTGTACCTTGGCCCTTTTTAGTCACTGCTTGCACTGGCGTGACTGGGGAGCAACCATGTCCCAAGGCTGCACAGAGAAGCAGGGCCCTGAGGCTGGCCCATGAAAGCATTTTTCCCTCCTAGGCCTCCAGGCCTATGATGGGAGGGGTTGCCTTGAAGATCTCTGACATGCCTTGGAGACATTTTCCTCCATGTCTTGGTGATTAACATTCAGCTCCTTGTTACTTATGCAAATTTTTGCAGCTGGCTTCAATTTCTCCCCAGAAAATGGGGTTTTCTTTTCTACTGCATCATCAGGCTGCAAATTTTCCAAACTTTTATGCTCTGCTTCCCTTTTAAACATAAGTTCCTCATCTCCATCTGATACCACCTCAGCCTGGACTTCATTGTTCATATCACTAACAGCATTTTGGTCAAAACCATTTAACAAGTCAAGAAGTTCCAAACTTTCCCACATCCTCCTGTCTTTTTCTGAGCCCTCCAAACTGTTCCAACATCTGCTCATTCCAAAGTGGCCTTCACATTTTCAGATTATCTTTATAGCAGTACCACACTCTTGATACCCATTATATTAGTTCGTTTTCACACTGCTATAAAGAAACACCCGAAACTGGGTAATTTATAAAGGAAAGAGGTTTAACTGACTCACAATTCTGCATTGCTGGGAAGGCCTCAGGAAAGTTACAATCATGGCAGAAGGCAAAGTGGAAGCAATTACCTTCTTCACAAGGTGGCAGGAGAGAGACAGAGAGCAAAGGAGGAATTACCAAACACTTACAAAACCATCAGATTTGTGAGAATTCACTCACTATCATGAGAACCACATGGGGAAACCACCCCCATGATCTAATCACCTCCCACCAGGTTCCTCTCTTGACACATAGAGATTACAATTTGAGATGAGATTTGGTTGAAGAGACAGAGCAAAACCATATCAGTCCTCATTAGAGAGACTGCCCTCCAAGGTCTTTCTGACCCGGGGGCTCTGCTCACCCATTTTCTCCTTACTGTCACCAGGCCTGTCATCTTCATTGTTGATATCTTGTGATACAAAGACCAAAGAGGCCTTGATTTTTTTAGACTCCCAGGGTGGAGGGACAAAAGTGTCAGACTCACTCAGCCATGTTCCTCTGCCTTCCCCACTGTGTTCCTTTAGTTTCTGAACCACAAAATACCCTGACAGCTCAAGTCAGTGCCTGGGAAAGTCATGTGATGGGGCTCAGTATTTTGGCATGTTCAAGTTTGAATCTGTCTATGAGGAGAATGAAGGATCCCTGTCAGGGTCCTGCAGTAGCCAGAAGTTCCTTATGTTTTCCTTGTACATGTGCCTGTGTGTACATGTGTATGTGTGTGTGTAAATATTAATTTTTTAGTGACTACTATTGCTAGCTATTGAGTGAAGCAGTTTGCATAGATTGTTTCAATCCTTCAAAACCCTTAGCAGTAAGAACAATTATGTGATCATTTATAGGTGGGGACCCAAAATTCAGAGAAGTTATCACACCCTAGATCCTATAATACTTATGAACATTGTCATGGTTCAAAACCCAGATTCTCATGGACACCACTGTATTCTCTCCCCCTCCCTTCCTCTCTTTCTTCCTTGTTCATTATGGCCAGGTTCTCTCCCTGAAAAACTGTGTTCTGGACCCTATTTTTTTCTCCTAAGAGAGGTTAGTTCCCCTCCCCCAGTGCTATCCTAAATTCCAAGCCTGTGGTTTTAACAGATGAGAAGGAAGCAGGCAACTCAGCCCAGTGAGGCCTGGAATAGTACCAGGGATGTGGCTGCCCAGGAGCCCTGGAGCATGGCCAGGGCTGAAGCTGAATACAAGCTAAGCACCACAGGTGGGGTGGGATCTGAGAAGCCCCTGAGCTGCGTGAACAGCTTTTATTGTTCTCCCATCCTGGGCCTCTCCCTCTCCCTTCTGCATCCCAAAAGAGAGATTTAATTTTCTCAGCAGATGCTCCTGCCTCCAGCATTAGTTCTGTAGTTTTGCATCTGGTCCCCTCCAGTGCCTTTTGCAGAGCTGTGATGTGTCTTTCATTTGAGCACATGGACCTAGGGCATCCATCTATGGAGACACATGGAGGAGACGGGCCAAGAAGGAATGGACATAAAGAAATTCTAGGGCAACTCCAAAGCCCTAAATTGGAACTGGAAGCAGAATGACTAGTTAGCAATTTGGGAAGAAAAACAAATACAAATTGGAGATTTTTCTCATTCCTTATATAAATATAATTTCCACTGGATTAAAAATTAAATGTAAGATGCAAAATGATAAAAGTACAAGAGGAGAATAGGGACAGATTTAGCCAAAGGTCATTGTAAAAATCACACAAAGGCCGTGCGTGATGGCTCACACCTGTGATCCCAGCACTTTGGGAGGCTGAGGTGGGCAGATCACAAGGTCAAGAGATCGAGACAATCTTGGCCAATATGGTGAAATGCTGTCCCTACTAAAAATACAAAAATTAGCTGGGCGTGGTGGCAGGCTCCTGTAGTCTCAGCAACTCGGGAGGCTGAGGCAGGAGAATCGCTTGAACCCAGGAGGCGGAAGTTGCAGTGAGCCAAGATCACACAATTGCACTCCAGCCAGGTGACAAAGAGAGACTCCGAAAAAAAAAAAAAAAAAAAAAGACACAAAAGTCTCAAACCGTAAAGGAGAAAAGATCGATAGGATTGACCACATAATCTCAGGTATCGAGTCATCATCCTTTGACAGAAATGAAAAGATATAGAATAAAGCAAGAAGAATAAAATGTTAACAGTAGAATTTAGGCGCTGGTAGGTATATGGTTCTTCACTAAAAACTTCTATTTTTCTGCATATTTGAAATTTTTCATAATAAATAGATACAATTATATAGGGTGAGCAGCCATGCATAAAATTAGTTCAACATGTGACTACAGATATTTTTTCTCATAGAGCACATGTGACATTTTATTCAATTATTAATTTACTATCATTATTAGTCTTCAGCCACATAATTTTTTTTTCCACCAAAGTGGAGGTTATTAGCAGGTCATTTGCTTCACTCTCCTCGTCATTTAGGAAAAGGGGTAGAATTTGGTGGAACAGAAACTAAGCTTTGTTATCTATCTCCCCATTCTCACAAGCAAAGCAGGATGCATCCTCTTTCTGTGAGAAACTGAAACCTATTAATCCAAAATTAGAAGACTTGCTGTTCAGAAGTTATCCTATGAAAAAGATACTTGCTCATGAATGTTTATAGCAGTACAATTCACAATTGCAAAAATTGAAACCAACCCAAATGCCCATCAGTCAACAAGTGAATAAAGAAACTGTTATATGAATATATATATATATATATATATATATATACACACACATATACATATATACAGATATATGATGGAATACTACTCAGCCACAAAAAAAGAATGAATTAATGGCATTTGCAGCAACCTGGATGAGATTGGAGACTATCATTCTAAGTGAAGTAACTCAAAAATGTAAAACCAAACATCATTTGTTCTCACTTATAATTGGTAGCTAAGCTAGGAGTATGCAAAAGCATAAGAATGACATGATGGACTCTGGGGACTCAGAGGGAAAGGGTGGGAAGGGGGTGAGGGATAAAAGATGACAAATTGGGTTCAGTGTATAGTGCTCGGGAGATGGGTGCACCAAAATCTCACAAATCACCACTAAAGAGCTTACTCATGTACCAAATAACACCTGTTCCCAAAAAAAACTATGGAAATATTTCTTTTTAAAAAAAATATAAGATTTTGAGTAGCAGGAGGCAATAGGGTGGCTTTGTTCTTTTCTGCAGTTTTAGTCCTCACCCTGATCTGTCAGGCCAGAAAGTGCCTCTGCCATGACTGAACCCTCTGGTCCCTTCAGGAAGCAAGAAGGTGTCCAGAAAGCACTACAGGCAGAAATCTCAGCCCCAGCCCTACCTGGCAATGATAGGAGCTAGGCCAGTGACACCTATGATAGCTAAAAATCCAGAAGAGACACTCCCAGTGCTGGAGAAAGCTCAGGGGGGATCCAGAGCCAAAAAGAACTGCACAATCTCTTGGTTCCCCTTATTTATGTATTACACAACAAAGGTTTTTGATAACTATGCCTGGTACTTTTATCTTCAGTATATAGATATCTGCCTTCCCCACTAACTTTATATAAAATAGTAAAGCATTCATAGATTTAGAAGCATATGACTTTCACTGGGGGTAAAGCCACTGAATCCTGGAAGAGGTTTTGGAGAGTACTTACAGCATTGTTTTTCAGGAAGTTCTAGACTCTTGAGAACTGAGCAGTCTCCAGAGTTTCCACACCCTGCTCCCCTTCCTCTCCCTCCAGCTCTTTTAAGCTGGAGAAGTGTGAAGAAAGCCCCTCCCTTTGCTCCACTTTCAGGTGATTTTGTGAGGACCAAATATTTGGAGCCTTGGCAGCCACCTTGTGCCAATGAGGAAAGACCAAAAGAATTGCAGAGGCTTTTCCAGAGCTCTGACTCGAGTCAATGAACCAATCCTAGAAACACCTGTTGCTTGTTGGGTGAGAAGTTTCCTGGTGATTAGGCTGCATCCACTCGGGCAAAGCACACAAGCAGGTGGACTCACTGATTAGTGAGGAGGCAGCGGGCAAACTAATTATTACTGCACAGGCAGAAAGTGCTCTGACGGCAGTAAGTCTAAGATGATGGGGGACATCTAATTCAAACTTGGGGGGTCAAGGAAGCCTTCCCAGAGGAGGTAAGCCCTGAGCTGTGAAACATAGGATAAGCAAGAGTCATCTCCATCAGGTAGGAGGTAGGGGCCTCAGACCACCTGTCCAGGGTTGAAAGAGAGACAGAACATGCCAGTGTGGCTGCCGGGGAAGGAGCATCTAACATAAGATGAGGATGGAGAGGTGGGCAGGGGTCAGCCCAACCAAGAGCAATGGAGAGCCATGGAAGAATTTTTAACAGAAAATTAGATGTGTAATTTAGAATAATCACAGTGAGTACTGTTGAATTGCTGGCTGGATACAATAAGAGAATAGTAATAGCTAATATTTATACAACACTATGTGACAGACTCTAGGCACTTTATAGGCATTAGAACATTAGATTACTTAATCCATATGTTTTGCTAATATATATATTAACAATAGTAGTAGTTAATATATATGATTACTAACAATAGTAATTATGTGAGAGAGATAGACCATATATATTTTTAGTAATTACAGGAGAGATATATATGATATATATTATATACATCTCTCACATAACTATTGTTAGCAATCATATATGTTAACTATTACTATTGTTACATAGTATATATCTCTCACATGATTATGCTTGTTGTATATTTACAAGTATATATGGTGGGGGGCACATTGGGGATGTCTCATCTCCATATCTCATATTCATCTTGTAGTATGTGTATATAGATAGATAGAAGATAGATAGATAAATATCTCACATGATTATATATATATATATATTATACTGTGAGTATAATATATATATACTCACAGGTGTCCCACAGCCCATAGCAAATATAGGGAGAGGTATATATCATATGTATCTCTCTCACATGGTTACTATTGTTATCCCCACTTACAGATAAGGAAACTGAGTCAAGTGTAAAAACAAGAATCTGTAGCCCCACTGCCTACCTGAGCCTGAGTGCCACGTGGCACTTGGAGGAACAGCAGTGGCTGGAGGCTAATTTCCTGTTTGCACTTTGAAGGTTACTGTCCCTGGTCAGAGACTCTGATGGGACACAAGTGTGGAGTCTGTGAGCTCTGACACAGACTTTTACTTGGCAAAGGTTCGGAAAAATCAAGTGGCTGTTAAGAAGATATATGATTTCTACTGAGGGCCACGCAAAAGGCAAGTGTCTCACGGATGAACTGAGTTTGCTCTTTTGATCCTGAGAACAGCTCTGTCGAATTGGGGAGGTGTTCTGGACATTTTACAGATGACGAAACTGAGGCCCAGAAAAGTTAAGTGACTCACCCAGGGTCGCAGTGTTACTAGAAGGTGTGCAGTGGTCTTCCAGGGAAGATCCTCTTGTATCAGAAGGAAGAGATGATCAGTTCAGAAGGCCCGAGAAAAGACAAGGTCATTTGAAAGTGATAGTTCATCCAGGTGTGATCCTGGAGCACGAAGTGACAAAAAAGTCACATGTCAAGGCACCGACGTAGAAAGGGTCTCCCTGTCTCAGAGCCCACCTGGTCTCTTCCTTCTCAGGGTGGCTCCTCTCTCTCTCTCTGCCTCTGCCCCTTGTCTTAGCCCAGCATGGGTGCAGGTCCCAGGTTCTGTGACATCACAGTTCAGGGCCCAAAGCCCAATCTCGGATCACGGCATTGAGAGTATCTGATTGGCCACTGGCCAGCCAATGGTGGGGCAAACTTTGGAGCAGGCTATCACGGTTGGAACAATCAGTGCTGAAGGAGTTGAAGAGGATGGGCAAGCCACGGCTTCTCCTTCTGGAAACGGAGATCATCTCCAAAGAAGACCATCATTTTCTACTATGGACAATGTGGATGCTAGTTCTCTCCCATTCACAGGTTCAGCACATGTTACAGAAGAGCGTTTTCCTTCAGAGATTATTCACAGATGTCCCACAGCCCATAGCAAATACAGGGCATATTAAGTTCAAATAAATATATGCAAATATGTGAGTGTATTGACATAAATACTGCATTTATATTCATATACTATACTTAAAAGTATTGAATATATTTTCATGTATGTTTATATTATATATATGTATTTCAAGCTCTATTGTATATATGAATTTATTATATATTAATGTATACTACATAAATATGAATATATGAATTCAATATATTTCAATTAGTTGTCCATATCTAAAGAGACTTCACGTAAGAATTCATGTTTTAAGGTATCTTTTAAAACGAAAATCAATGTACCATAGAAGTAGGTAACATCTATGTAGCATTTCCAGTGTGCTACCCCTGTTTTAAATGATTTCTCTGCATTTATGTATTTAATCCTGGACTCAACACTCACCATGAGGCTGACACTGTTAGTTTTCCTGTTTTACTAATCAGAAAACAGACCCTGATAAGTTAGCTGACTGGGCCAAGGTCCCACAGCTAGTTGGTGGCCCCGCTGGGATTAGTAGCTGCAGTGTGGCTCTGAAGCCCTTCCTGTCAGCACCTAGGGGCAGTGACCTTTGGGACAGGCGGCTCTGGCTGCCACGGGCAGCAGGTGGCTGAGGCTGAGTGTCCCCAAGAAGCAGAGTTTTGGCTGGTAACTTTGTTCCAGTGCCAACAGGCCAAGACACACTTCCACGCTGCCTGCCTAACCACTGTGGGCTTTCACATTTGTTATTCTGATAGGTTACAGGGCTTGAAAATTCCTATATGAGCTGCACTTGGAGTTTTAAAACACATTTCATTTTCTAAATTTGAACGTAAATTAACTCATCAACAAAAGGAAAACCAGAACTAAAGTTTGGATAAAGAAAGCCCCTGTTGTGGCTATAAATTCTGTTCTCAATGGTATAGTTCAGGCTTCTTCAAGTAGATTGAGCCCTGAGAACTTGTCTATTGTATTTTCCCCTGGTGAATCAGTCAGACAAATGGGGGCACCTTAATTCAGAAAGAAACAGCCCAGCTGTGACATTTGTCACTGCAGAGGCCTGGCCCATCGGTCAATCCCTTGTCCCTGGGCTGACAGCTCTGTGTTCCCCTGTGGTCCCACTGCTGTCTGACCACCTCCTCTCCTGACTGATGATGACACCTCTTTGCAGGTGTGGAAATGGCCTGTAGCCTGCAGGAGCCTGAGGAGAAGAGAGGAGCTAGCAGCCCCAGTCAAGTCTAGCGAAGTGCATCTTGGCCTGCAGTGATGGCTGTTTCCCCCAGAAAGGTCAGTAGCACAGAAGCCGCTCATAGCCTTCCTGAAGTGGGCATGACTCCCTGTGTCCTATCCACTGACAATGCCCATATTTCACCAGTGAGGCCTGGACGGTTTGCCATTGACGAGTGTCAGGTAGAATTTCCCATTGTCTCTTCTCATCTTCTGGCATTGAGTGGCCAGTCTCTTCCTTTTATTAGTCATATCAGGCGTCCTCTGACAGATGCACAGGGAGACGGAAGGTTTTGGGTTTTCTGCTGTGGCGACGAGGACCTGGCTCACACGGTTATGGAGATGAGACTTCCCACGATGTGCCCCCCACCATCTGAAGACCCAGGAACGCCAGTGGTGTAATTCAGTCTGAGCTCAAAGGCCTGAGAACCAGTGGGGGCTGATAATACAAATCCCAATCTCATGGCAGGATAAGATGAGAAGTCTGAGGTCAAGCAATGAGGCAGAAAAAAATAAACAAGGGGGAGAATTCTCATTTCTCTGCCTTTTGTTCTATTTGGGCCCTCAATGGATTGGTTGGTGCCCACACGCTTTGGGGAAGGGGAAATATTACACTTCATTGAGTCCACCAATTCAAATGCTAATCTCATCAGCAAATATCCTGAAAGATACACTCAGAAATGATGTTCGATATGAGCACCTCAGGGCCCAGTCGAATTGGCATATACATTAACTATCACACTCTAATCAACCCTTTTCACCTGAGGAAAGTTTTCAGGTTTTTGAGTCAGAAGGGACAATTGTGTCCTTGAAGACAGCAGGTAATTTCCTTACACAGTTTGTCTCCTGTACTGATATTTCTTGTCCAACTCATGATTTTATTTTTCAAAGAACGTACCCAATACGGGAAAAAAAAAATACTGTGGGATATAACAGTCAACCACAAACAGCAATTATAAATCTTTTTTTAAAAAATTATACAAGTTTTAGGGTACATGTGCACAACGTGCAGGCTTGTTACATATGTATACATGTGCCATGTTGGTGTACTGCACCCATTAACTCGTCATTTACATTAGGTATATCCCCTAATGCTATCCCTCCCCCCTCCCCCAACCCCACAACAGGCCCCGGTGTGTGATGTTCCCCTTCCTGTGTCCATGTATTCTCATTGTTCAATTCCCACCTATAAGTGAGAACATGCGGTGTTTGGTTTTTTGTTCTTGCGATAGTTTGCTGAGAATGGTGGTTTCCAGCTTCATCCATGTCCCTACAAAGGACATGATCTCATCATTTTTTTATAGCAAAACAGAGATATAGACCAATGGAACAGAACAGAGCCCTCAGAAATAATGCCACATATCTACAACTATCTGATCTTTGACAAACCTGACAAAAACAAGAAATGGGGAAAGGATTCCCTATTTAATAAATGGTGCTGGGAAAACTGGCTAGCCATATGTAGAAAGCTGAAACTGGATCCCTTCCTTATACCTTATACAAAAATTAATTCAAGGTGGATTAAAGACTTAAATGTTAGACCTAAAACCATAAAAACCCTAGAAGAAAACCTAGGCAATACCATTCAGGACATAGGCATGGGCAAGGACTTCATGTCTACAACACCAAAAGCAATGGCAACATAAGCCAAAATTGACAAATGGGATCTAATTAAACTAAAGAGCTTCTGCACAGAAAAAGAAACTACCATCAGAGTGAACAGGCAACCTACAAAATGGGAGAAAATTTTTGCAATCTACTCATCTGACACAGGGCTAATATCCAGAATCTACAAAGAACTCAAACAAATTTACAAGAAGAAAAACAAACAACCCAATCAACAATTGGCTGAAGGATATGAACAGACACTTCTCAAAAGAAGACATCTATGCAGCCAAAAGACACATGAAAAAATGCTCATCATCACTGGCCATCAGAGAAATGCAAATCAAAACCACAATGAGATACCATCTCAACCAGTTAGAATGGAGATCATTAAAAAGTCAGGAAACAACAGGTGCTGGAGAGGATGTGGAGAAATAGGAACACTTTTACACTGTTTGTGGAACTGTAAACTAGTTCAACCATTGTGGAAGTCAGTGTGGCGATTCCTCAGGGATCTAGAACTAGAAATACCATTTGACCCAGCCATCCCATTACTGGGTATATACCCAAAGGATTATAAATCATGCTGCTATAAAGACACATGCACATGTAGGTTTATTGTGGCACTATTCACAATAGCAAAGACTTGGAACTAACCCAAATGTCCAACAATGATAGACTGGATTAAGCAATTATAAATCTTTTGTGCATTTTTTCTTACTTGAAAATGTTAAAACCATCAGAGAATACAGAAAGCACCACACTTCAACCCAGTGTCTGTGGTCATTGAGACAAGTGGTGTATTTAGATACAACAGTGAAGCATCATGTTCCTTCGGGGCCCCCATGAGCACCAGCCACTCAGCAGCCCAGGGGCAGAAGTCCCTGTGCATAAAACCTGTCCCTGAAGTGATTAATAACCATGGTCGCAGACAGTCATTAGGAGACCTTAGTCATTTGCTGCATGATGGAGACGCCAAGTCTAAGAAAACTGCCTTTGAATGTTTTGCTAAACTCCATTGAATTGAGGAAAAAATCTGACATGCATAATCAGTTCTTACAGACCCAAGAGCAAGAAGAATTCAGTGACAAATGTATTGAGTGTGCCTGAGGAAACATCTATTTCACATCCACAAGAAACCATTCATTCTTATACTGCACAGCTTAGGCTAGACAGGAGAGAGATTGATGTTGATTATTTTTGTAGTGGGAGAAGGTCACATGTTAGGCAAGTTATGCCCACCAAAGTCACCTATCCCCTGGATACAGAGTCTCGATATTCATCCCTAGACAGAAGGGCTTTGCCACATCAGTTTTTTCCACTTCAGATCCCTGATGAAAGAATCATGGTGGGAGACAATACTTGTGCTCCTTTCAAATAGGTAACAAATCATGACAAATGTGCACAACGAAGAACTCTTGACTGGCAGACGTCAAAGAGCATGCTAAGAGATAAAATTATCATCATGTCTCACCTCCTTGCTAACTCCAATCTAACTCCTTTAAAATATTCTGAGTTTACGACATGTGGGACACTGGACTTCCAAATCACACGTTGTCCACGTGATTCCTTTCAGGGATCCGCTAGTGGTGGGTGGAGAGTTTCATAGGTTTTGGCTTTGCTAATAGCTCTCTGATCACACTTCCCCTTGCCTGGTTTGCCACTTTGGAGGGGTCTTCAATGAGGCTTGCGTGGTTCTAGTTTCACATGCAGAAAGTGCATTTGGTCATCAACTCAAATGTGTATTTCTTTTGTTAGATAATTCACTCAGTAACTAGAGATGATCAAGAAGTTTAAAACTGGAAGATAATCAATTGCTGACAATGACACTCTTCAGGGCAGGTGAACCAGTGTACAGATGACCCAGGCTGGCTCAGTGTACCTGTAGTGATATAGTGATGGCCAAGGACACGCAAGTGTGTGACAGTAAAGCCATCTCTATTGTTCATGAATTGCATCAAAGCACAGATCATCATATCCTATTAATGAGGGCCACTTTACTACTCAAATGTAAGTACAAGAACCCTAATAATTCTCTCTGTGCTTTTACCCACAGTTCTTCCACTTCTGGATCCCACCTCGACTGAACCTTACACAATCTACTGCTGGACTTTCCAATGGCATGAGTTGGTAAATCATCTCATTTTTGCAAAAGCAAGTGTAACTTGAGTTTCCATCACTTGCAGCTGAGAGAACACTTGTTCTTGAATTTTATCCACAATGAGGTGCTGGATGTTTTCTGTTTGCCCCATGAACTCACTCTCTGCCTTCCCTGTCTTGCTGTCTACCCTTATTGGTTCTTTTTTCCTTTCTGCTTTGGTTTCCAGTTGGCTCTGGCCAATGATAGAAGACGATAAAAGAGCGAGGGAGAATAAAGTCATGTGTTTATTTCTTCAGCGTTCTCCAAGCAGGGTTGCCAACTGCCTGGGCGTGTTTTGTCACAGATCTCATAGCTTCTCTCAAGGCAGCCTGCTCCATCTGATTCTCCCCTTCTGAATTATAACCAGTTTTCACTGAGTACTTTCTATACTCAGGAACAGTGAGAGCTATCTTGTATACATTAGTTCCCTAAGTCCACTTCTACAGGAAATGTTTGTTAGAATTATTGCTTTGTTATAAATAAGGAACTTGAGAGGGACAGAGAACTCTAGTAACTCGTCAAAAGTCCTGTGCACCTCTGTGATCCCCTTACAGGCTAAAAATCTGACTCCACCAACACCGACTCTGGCTTCGAGCTTCATATTTCCCCAGTCCCCCTCACCCTTCACCTTCCCTTCTCAAAGTTACCCAATAGCTCCCAATCACTCACTGGATGCAAGTTCTCAGTTTTCTGGACTGACTTGATCAAGGCTGGTATTGGTTAGTCTCCTGCTTACCTGCCCAGCCAGCCTCATCTCCTGTCTTTTGCCTCATTCCAGTCCTGAATTTTATGCTGTAAGGATGAAGAATCATTCCTCTTTTTCCAGTACCCATTAGAGTTTCCAACTCTGAGCTTTTTTATATTCTAGATCTTCTTCTTGCGATAGTCTATATATGTTGCTATAGAGACTTGAACAAAGATAATGGCACTAAACATGAAGAGAAGGATGTGATAGACATAACTGATGGAGTATACTGTAGATGCTGATGGAGTATAGAGCCTGCTGAACTGCAGAGGCAGGAAGGAAGAAAAACACGTGCCTCTACAGTGATAGGATGATGCAGTAACCAATATCAGCATGGAAACTTGGAAGAAAAGATGAGATAATTGCTGCAGTTTCCTGAAGTGACTCAATTTTTCCTTTGGAGATGGCACACTGAGTATCCATCTTCTCTCCATGATTGTCCAACCTCCTTGAAGTTAGGTGGGGCTTTGTGACTCCTTTTGCTAGTGGGTTGAGCAGAAGTGAGATCTCTGCTGGGCTCAAGCATGGAAAGGCTGACTCCTGAACTTCCAGCTTCTCTTCCCAGTGGCAGAAAAGCAGAAGCCACAGTCAAGAGGGAGGAGCCACAAAATGGAACCAGCCTCAATTGCCGAGGCTGAGCTCACATCTTATTTTGCAAAACAGAACTCAACCTGTGATAAGATAAACCAGTGATAGTTTGGAGTGTTGGCAATTCCAGCATGACCTTCCACTCCTGAACAGTACCTCTCCTCTAATAGCAGCAATTATGTGAGGAATTGTGTCCCCCTCCCTCGCTGAAATGTATATATTGAAATCCCAGCCTGCAGTGCCTAGAAGGTAATCCTATCAGAAGACACAGTCTTTAAAGAAATAATTAAATTAAAATGAAGTCTTCAGGGTGGGTCATAATCCAATGCGACTAGTGTCCTCATAAGAAGAGGAAATTTGGACAGAAGTACCTGTGCACACAGAGGAAAGACCATGGGAAGATGCAGAGAGAACACAGCCATCTGGGAACCAAAGGGAGAGGCCGCCAAAGAAACCAACCCTGTCTGCATCCTGATCTTGGATTTCCATATTATGGAAGCTTCCATGTTATGAGAAAATAAATTTCTATTTTTTTAGACACCCAGTCTGTGTTCTTTTGTTATGACAGCACTAACAAACTAATACAGCACCATTTTTTCCCTTTCCTTTTGGAGAAGCACCACACCATATTCAGCCTATGCTGTCAGGTGGAGCTGACTCCCACCCTGGCTATGGGGTGAGCTAATGATCCAGGATGGCCAATCAGAGCCTTCCACCCTACTGTCAACAATGAGTGCTTTGGGAATGAGCCAGCAATGACATCCAAGTTAATAAGAACTGGTGAGCACTGCATGGAAGACTTCATGTTTTAAATGTTGGAATTAAGAAACGGTATCTCCTGCAGAGATAACCAAACTCATGGAATATGTCCAATATCACCAAGACAAAACCTTCTTGGGATTGAGGCAAATTATAAAGAAAGAACAGAACAAAAGAGCAAGGATACAAAGAAGAAAACAATTGCTGACCGAAGTGTTTCAATTCCTGGATCCCTTCCTGACTGAACCCTCAGATCAATTCCTGGGTGTGAGGCAGTAAGTTAGCTCGTTTTGCTGAAGTAAGTGTTCTGTCACTTGCAGCTGAATGGATCCTGCCTGATTAATACAATAGAATTTCATGTAATGATAAGAACCAAATCTAAAATTCTTAGCAGACACTAAGCATTTTACACAGGTTATTTAATCCTCATAATTATTTAAACTATGGGACTACTATTATCTTCGTTTTATAGATAAGGAACATGAAGCTAGAGGAGATAAGTTCTCATTGGCTGAGCTGGAATTTGCATGCATTTGCCTCTAACTGCACAGACTGTCTTCTGAACCCCGTCAGACTTTCACCCTTCCTTTTTTGAAGCTTTACAGACCCCACGGGTTAATATCAATCAATACTCTTATTTTGTAGATTAGCAAACTTAATCATTTGAAAGTTAAATATCTTGGTAACAGTCAAAGTCTAACACAAATCTGGCAGAATTAAAATTCCATTCATTTTGAGTCCACAGGAGAAGGCTCCTTTAAAATTCTAATTTTCCTGGGCAATGCTGATGTTGAACTCTTAGAAGCTAAATCCTTCGTTGCTAATTCTCACTGCAACAACAACCAGGGCACTGTCCACATATGAGCACACATAGGACACAGGTGAGGAGGGACAGCGAAGACACTGGCTGCCAACTGAATTTACTGAGTGCTTTCTGCATGACAGCCACTGTGCCAGTCATTCTCCACACACTGGCTAATTTAATCCTCACATCTCTCCTGTGATGTATGTCATGTAAAGTATCCCATTTTATGGATGAGAAAAACTGAGGGTAGGTACCTTGCCCAAGGTCAGACCACTGGTAGAGTGTGCGGAGGGGGTCACGGGGAGGGGAGAGGGTTGCCGACCTCCACTGACCCTGAACCCTTGGTTGTGAAAGGAGCACCTCCCTCCCCACAGCCCTCTCTCTAGTGCTGGACACTGAGAAGTCTAGTCTCCTGCCTGCAAGATTCCAAGGCTTTATAATTGCCACAGAATCCTCAAAGCGTGGTCTATCTATTTCCCTTTACGGGCAAGATTATCACCAGGGAAAAATGGGAGAGGGGCTCTATGATCCCAGAGTGTCCCCAGAATGGATCGATGGCCTCTGTCATTACACACCAAACCCTGGGGTATAACATAAGCCTGAGCTGGGATGCTGTTTTCCAGGCAGAGAGAACCGTCATTTCGGTGAATGTTGTCTAAGCTCACTGGGGCCTCCTCCTGGAAAATGAATCTGGCCTCTCAGTTCCATTCCAGGTAGCAGCTGGTAGGACCACTTATGTGGAAGGCTGGCTGGGGGCATCACTATGACATGTGGCCCAAGAGATGGCAAGGAATGAGGTAGGATGGATGCCTGATGCCAGATGCTGCAGCTTTTCCTTATCAGAGCAACAGCCCCAGGACATACCACATTTAAAAGTGGTGATGCAGTTTGTTCCCTTTTTCTCTTATCCTTACATGTTCTTGGGGATTATAGCAGTCATATTGGCTTGGGATTTGAGTGAAAATCATTTTCAGGCCAAAGATGGTGACCTGAGAATCACTAACCCATTGGCTCATTGCTCAATTTTCACTTAGTTTGTGGTGTCCTCTTCTATTAATTCAAATGACTTTTTATTATAAAATTATTATTTTTTTTGAGATGAAGTTTCTCTCTTGTTGCTCAGGCTGGGGTGCAATAGAGCGATCTCAGCTCATGGCAACCTCTGCCTCCCAGGTTCAAGCGATTCTCCTGCCTCAGCCTCCCGAGTAGCTGGGTTTACAGGCATACACCACCACGCCAGGCTAATTTCTCGTATATTTAGTAGAGACAGGGTTTCTCCATATTGGTCAGGTTGGTCTCAAACTCCCGACCTCAGGTGATCTACCCGCCTCGGCCTCCCAAAGTGATGGGATTACATATATATATATATACGTATATATATACGTATATATATATTATATACGTATATATATACACGTATATATATACGTATATATACACGTATATATACATATATACATATATACACATATATACATATATATACATATATATACACATATACATATATATACATATATACATATATATACATATATACATATATATACACATATATATATATAGCGAAAAACAATCTTTAAAAAATCACCAGAAAATGTAGTGCTTATAGACAGACGACTTATCTTTTGTTAATCACACCTCATCCTCCTTTTTCACACATACATACAGTCTAAGTACCAGATTTGCACATTCAGTTTCAGCAAGAAGAATTCATTTAATTCCCCCACTCTCTGCTCACAAGACCTATTCTCAGGATCCATTTCTAACGCTGAAGCAGCTGAGGCTCCAAGACAAGGGCTCCGTGCCACTGTGCAGTTGGCTTGAAGTTACAGAAGTTCTCCTTTTAGGGCTCTGGAAGTTGGCTGACTCATGGCAGGGCCAGGAGCACTTGCTGTATGCAGGGCTCTCATGTGCTTTGCTGCTTTCTGATTAGTTACTGTTAATATTTCATTGGGTTTCCTTTGTTTCTGTTTAGCAAAAGAGGTGGCCTTACAGCTTGAATTACGTGAATATCATGTATCATGTTATGTTTTCATTGTGAGTTGGCTTAAATGATTACTCTAAAGTGCTTGATATGGTTTGGCTGTGTCCCCACCCAAATCTCATCTAGAATTGTAACTCCCATAATCCCCATGTGTCATGGGAGGGGCCTGGTGGGAGAGAATTGAATCATGGGGGCAGGTTTTTCCTGTGCTGTTCTCATGATAATGAATAAGTCTCACAAGATCTGACGGTTTTATAAAGGACAGTTCCCCTGCACACACTTCCCTGTCTGCCACCATGTAAGATGTGTCTTTGCTCCTCCTTCATCTTCCATCATGATTGTGAGGCCTCCCCAGCCATGCTGAACTACGAGTCAATTAACTCTCTTTCCTTTGTAAATCACCCAGTCTCAGGTTATGTCTTTATTGGCAGCATGAGAACAGACTAATACAGTGCTTAAAGAGAAAATATGGACAATCAGATTATAGTCATTCTCGAGGAAAATACTTCCTGTGGACTGCTAACTCCTGGAATAATTATTTCAGTTTTTGTAAGATTTGATGTTATTTAGGAATGCATAATAATAACTGTGGCATTGAGGAACTCATAAAACTATTCTTGTGGAAATTAACTACATTATGTTGTATAACATTCAACATTGTGTAACATTCAACAATGCATCCTGTGATGTATATTTCAAGAGCATATTGTATGGGTAAACTGGGACACTGGAGAGGGAATAAGATCCTTTCTGTATAAACAGGATAGACGGAGGGGCCATGCATTTTTGCTCATCACTGAATCTGGAATGCTTAGCATAGAATAAAATAGCAGATACTTTATACATGTTGTTAACTAGTAACTAGTTAATTAAAAGATTTCATAATTTCATGTGTAATTTTTTGGTGCCAGTCAACATTATGTCAGAAGATACCTTCATTCTGCTGAAAGAGTCAGTGGAAATGAAGGAGTTAGAAAATGATGATGGGGTCTGTAAACTGACAGGCCAGTTAGCAAACGTCATGCAGTTACATCAGCCAGGTCGCTCCTGTGCTTAAAACATTTGTACCAGACATTCTGTAGATCATCAGGTCCTTGGCTTTGAGTTCTTCTTCTTTCTTGAGACCATTTCAGCATTCATGAACACCTACTCTTTCCATAGGCAGGTGACCCGAAACTATTGTCCACAAAGCACTAACAGAGCATTTTGGGGTAACGTAAAAAACTATAAAAAGGGGTTGTTCGTTTATGAAATTTTCATTATAGCTGGAGGACATATAAAAATAATCTCAAAGCTCATGTGGGATAAATTATAAATCTATGTATATAGCTTATATCACTATATATGAGTTTTTAAAAATTCTGTACAAGCAGAAAACACAAGGACACACCTAGGCATCAGTTTGATTCCCTAGTTAGCAGGAAGGGAATATGAAAGTATTTTAGAATGATGGGTCTGATGATGAGGAAAAAGGGCAGGGAAAGAAACAAGCGTTCATTTGTTGACTAAGATCAAAGGCAATGTGCTAGACACTTCACAAATGCCACTGCATTTTTATCCCAAACACCTTATAATGGCCAGGGGTGTGACCTAATTCACCCACATGCCCACAGATGCTGTGTGCAGAATGAAAGAGGAGACCCAGTTCCTCTGTCCCCTATTCCACCTCAGCACCTTGCCCCTCGAGGTTCTGTAATGGTTCTGCCTTCAATAACATGCAGGCTGATCAGTCTCTTGTTGGGGTGGCAGAGACTGGGATCCAGTGGGCTCCCTTCTTAATGCACTTTAGATGACCTACTATTTCAGCCTCTCAACCCAACACTTCCTAAGACCATTCCTAATGAGCCACAACATGCTTTAGGTATACTTCATCTATACATATTGACAGACAAGGTTCATTTTAAGCAAATTTAGTTGAACAATTATGAGCCCCTTGAGGCTAAGGACAACATTTATCTCCTTACCACCCAAAACCCATGGCCAAGAACAATCTCCCACACGTGTTAGGGGTCAGAGAGTGGCAGAAAATGAATATGCATTATAAAAAATCATGATCTATGGTATTAAGAACCTGGATTAAAAATAATTTGTTCTTATATTTATGTGTGTGCTGTTCTTTTATGTGTGTGTGCGTGTGTCCTACTATATATAAAGGATTATATATATATATATATATATATAGTATCATACATATCTATCTATCTATCTATCTATCTATCTATCTATCTATCTATCTACCTGTCTATCTACCTAGTAGGATATGTATCCTACTCTTAGGATCTAGGACAAAGAATAACATTCTAGCCATGAAAATACATAATAGGCAACTAAATAAAAATTAGTTATTTAATCACAGATTTAGTATATATACAAGATCAAACCTAGGGGAATGAACATATGACAGGAGAGTCAAAACAAATTTGTGTAATCAGGAAAATCCACTCAGGAAGTGACATTTGTCTGAAATTTTTTTAAATAAGTGAAATCAACTGGATGAGTGACTAATCAGAACATTCTATAAAAAGGGAATCAGAAAGAAGGAATGACACATGCCCCGGATGAGAAGTCCAGTGCTTTTCATGAACTGACAAATAAATCACAATGGCCGCTCTGCAAAAACAAAATAAAACAAAGATTCTCAAGAATGAGGGTAAGGTGAGATGAGGCCAGAGAGGTCAGCAGAGGCTGGGACATATTAAATCTTTTCAGCTATTGGAAGAATCAAGATCGTTTTAGAAAAGTAAGTTGTGAGCCACAGAAAGACATTAAGTAAGGAAATACTATAATCAGATTTGGTTGCTGTAAGAGAAACCCAGTAGGGAACAACAGATGAATTGAGATACACTGGTTAGTTTGAACTGGAAATTGTGCAAAAGGCTGGAATTGAAGGACATTTATGGGGTAGAGGCAGCAGACCATGGCTGGACTTGGTCATCAGATGAGAGAGCTCTCACTGGAGAATTCCATTTTTTAGCACTGAATACAAGGCAGAGCCATCCATTGATTCAGGAGACCTGGAAAATGAGCACGGGGAATGTGATGAGTTCCATTATAGGTGATGCGTAATCCTGATTTTCCATGATACCCGTGAAAGATGGGCATTAAGAAATAATTTGTAGTAGGATAGCCATGCACTCAAGTTACTATTTCCAACTACTTACTATGTTCAGGGTGCTGCTCTGTGCAAGATGACAATGCCAAGACAACTTGTCCCTGGATTCTGCCCACAACAGAATACAGAAAGGGAAATGAGGCATGGATAGAACAGATACAAGGTAAAACCATACTGATCTCCTGTGAGATTCCTTCCCTCTTCCAATACAATCAAATCTTCCAGTGAGAGGTATCAGAGGAAGCTTCTCAGGGGCAGAAAAGAGAAACAATAGAAGGCCATATATAAAGGGCTGAAAAGATAAACAGCAGAAAGCCTATGTAAAATGCAGGTTAACCGCCCTATTTCTTCTTGAAGAGTCATAAAGGGGTTGAAAATATTGTTAATTCACTGAGGCTCATGGAGAAGGTGAATTGACTGTTTAAATTGTCAGACATGGTCCATCCTTTTCACCTGTGAAAGTCATTCATTTCTCGAGGTCAAGGAAAAGATTCTGTTCAATCTCTTTTATCTTGGCTGTGTAAACTAAAGGAAGAGTCAGCAGTTTAATGGAATAGTTGTTGGGTTTAATCAGCCTTTGGTGGCAAACTCGGTTTCCAATTACAGTGAACAAAGTTTTCCGAATTAAGTTTCCTGTAATAAACATTCATAGTCTCAGTAATAAAGCCAATAGTTCTTGAAGCAGTTAAAATGAACTTTCAATATAATGAAAAACTTATTTTCCTATCTAAACAGAGAAAAATTCAAAAGCTATAATGCCATGATATGGATCAATTAAGTATGGCATATATGTCATGATAATAAGAATGTAAACTATCTGGTAATCTTCCCTCTTCCCTATGTAAACAAAGGCTAAATATCAGTGAAGAAAATCCTTGAAAACACTTGTGTCAGTAACTTCTTAAATTTGTTCTCAAATGTTCTGTCCAACAAATGTAAAACAAAATGTTGAGTCCTAAAATACATTAGCTTGTATTTTAACCCAGGCTGAATCAAATAAATTTGGGGTAACTTACAGCAATGTATTGTTCTACTAGCTTACAATGTCTCTGATCACTGTTCATTTTGTAAGGAGCTACCATATTTGTCAGCAAGCAAAACTCATCTTTACCAAAAAGCAATATATTTGCCCCATGTCTAGTGAACTAAGCCTATTGAAAGCCCAACAGGGAAGGAAAGAGGAATAGTGGATTTATAGACCATGGTAATATCATTAGCCCCTGGTGGCAGAAAACGGAAACACAAACATCACAGAAAAGATTGGTGATTTCTATCCTTGCGTGCTTTTCTTTTTCTTTTTTTGTTTTTTTCTTTTGAGGTGGAGTTTCACTCTGTCACCCAGGCTGCAGTGCAATGGCATGATATTGGCTCACTGCAACCTCAGTCTCACGGGCTCAAGCGGTTCTCCTGTCTCAGCCTTCCAAGTAGCTGGGATTACAGGCGCCCACCACCAGGCCCAGCTAATTTTTTGTATTTTTAGTGGAGACAGGGTTTCGCCATGTTGGCCAGGCTGGTCTCAAACTCCTGACCTCAGGTGATCCACCCACCTCAGCCTCCCAAAATGCTGGGATTACAGTCGTGAGCCACCGCATCTGGCTGCTTTTCTTTACTTGAGAAATAAGGTATTAGCCACCTAGATAATCAGGGGGTAAATTATGGACTATTTTCTGACTAGATTTAAATTGATCACTGCCATAAACCATGGCTCAAATAGGAATGGAATTTCTGGGAAGCTCTTGAAGGCATGGTTTAGGCTGGTTTCTATCAGAATTATTTTCCCCTTTGCTGCTTATTCATGTGCTCATAGCCAAGCAAATACTGACTGGCTTTTACTACATACATGAGAATGACCTTGGGGTACCTTCAATTTTTTTTTTTACAGGTTTTGTACTGATTTATACAAAAATATTGGCTTGTCAATATGCAACACAGCCTGTGTGGGAATTCAGTCAAATTTATAGGTTTTTGTTGTTGTTGTTGCTTGATTTCCTTTGCTTTCAAGTAAAGGCATTTGTTCTTATTTCATACGATTTTACGTTGAGACTTGCTTTTTAGTCACCAATATTTCCTGAACTGCAGTGCTGCCATTTGCTTTTATAGACCACAAATAAGGGATAAGAATCTACTTAGCAGTATTTTTCTTGGCATTTTTTTGTCTGCTTTGAACCAGTATTTACTTAAGCCAATATATTTCTTTTAGTTATGTGATTTTTACGTTTCTCAGAGCTAATGGACTATTATTTTATATTTCAAACAGTTTCCTGCTACATTCCAATCTAGATTATGATGTATCTGCATGGGCATAATAATGTATTTCCTCTATAAAACCTTTTAAATATCACTTTCAATGAATCCACTGTAAAAATCACTCAGATCTTCCTACAAATATTCCACATTAAATAAGAATGTTTTATGTTCTGATATGCCTGGAACACTAGCAAATAAAATACTTGCAACTTGTCCTTAAAGTGCCATGAATGAGTGAAATGAAACTGGCATTTGCTGCACACAGAGGCCTCTTTAAATGAAATATTTTATTTAACTTTGAAGAAAAAACCACACATGTAGTTATATTGGAACCTAGAAGCTTGGAGGACTGTGCAAAGCAAAGACCCACCATTCAGAAGAAAGACTACCACCCAGTTGCTAGCGATGCCTGAGAGCTGGGAAGAAGGTCCCCAGGGAGCTGAGACCCAGACTCTGAAAAGATGAAAATGCCCAGGAGATGCTGATGTCTTTCGAGCTTGTGCTGAAGCTGGCCTCAGACAGTAGGAAGAAGCTGGAAGTTAGAATCAATGACTGCTGCCAGCATGCAGGGCCATTTACTGGATGGCATAGGGGAACAGCAGGAAAGACATAAAGAGCAAGATCCTTTTCCCCTTCTACCCCCAAGGTCTCCCTCTAGTGTCCCTAATGACAGAGCCCAACAGAAAGCAGCCGGCAAAGCAGAGGTGTGGTTTGCAGAGCTCCAGCCCTGACATCAGGGTGTGAAAGGGCAGGTCTGGAGCTGAGGTAGTAGCTTAAAGCCAGCATAAACAGTTCCACCCTCAAAATGTCGCATTTTATATATGTTTTTTTTTTCTTCCGCTTGTCTTAGAGACAAACAAATAAAACACACTTCTGGATGGTTTAGAAAGAATTCTCAATAAGTAAAATAGAACAGGCATTTACTAAGCACAGATAGCTCCTTAATGAACCCAGAAAGTTCTCAATCAGCTCTGAGCTGTGTATGTTATGATCTCCTTTCTCAGGGGAAAGAAGCTGAACTCAGGAGGTGGCATGACCAGCCCAATGCTACACAACTAAGGAGTTGCAGACCCAGACCCAGGACTGCCCCTTTCCAAGTCAAAGAATATGTTCTCACTCCTGGTATTGACTGCTACAGAACATAGGCTTGACTCTGTGAACTGGGTTTTGTTATACTTATGAGTTTTAGTAGGATTTGGGATGCTGGCACCTACAGCCTGTGCTCAGGTGTTTGGTAAATGAAGGAATGTCAGGATTCTGAAAGGCACACGGTATTGAAGACAAGATCTGAGAAGTTAGCAGGGCACACACCTGCAGAGGGGTATGTCTTAACAAGACAAAATTCACATCCTCTATTGTAGCTTCATTTATTTATATTTCATCAATTATCTGCAATGAGGGGGCATCTTACAACTAATTCATCTTGTAGGCAGCATTTGTTTTTCTTAGTGGTATATAAAATAAGAGTAAGTCTGACCAATGCTAGCATCTTACATCTAATGAAATATGGTACAGTATTTATTATAACCATTGTCAGAAAGACGGCAGTCAAACTCTTTGAGGAAGGGGTGCCTTTTCTAACTTTACAAAGGTACCACATGGACAGGTAGCTGCCTGGGGAGTCGAATACTATACATTTTCAATATGGATATTTTTGCAGTGGAATAAAACTAACATGACAATAATGTATCCCATATTCAGAAGTATTAATAATTAATGGAATTTGGGATAAAAAGAGGCCAGGAGCGGTGGCTCATGCCTGTAATCCCAGCACTTTGGGAGGCTGAGGCGGGCGGATCACCTGAAGTCAGGAGTTCAAGACCAGACTGGTCAACAGGGCGAAACACGTCTCTACTAAAAATACAAAAATTAGCTGGGCGTGGTGGCACATGCCTATAATTCCAGCTACTTGGGAGGCTGAGGCAGGAGAATCACTTGAATCTAGGAGGTGGAGGTTGCAGTGAGCCGAGATTGCGCCACTGCACTCTAGCCTGGCAACAGAGCGAGATTCCATCTCAAAAACAAACAAACAAACAAAAAAACAAACAAACTTTCCCTTTAAAATTTCTACACATTTCTAAACTTATATTTTTTTTAAAAAAAGGAATATTTTGCACATTTTAGCAGTTTTTCTCCTCAGAAGACAAAAGTTCAAATGAAATATTTTATATATACTCAGATCTCTCATATATGTTTTACTCTGTTTTCCATTAGAATCCATCAAAACCATAACCTTATCCATCAAAATCACACCATTTTACATTCATCTATTACTTTATTCCTATAGCATTTCCATTTCATGCCTCATTGAATTCTATGATCTTTCCATTGCCAGTACAGGATGCAAATCACAGGCAGATGATTCCCAAAGACTCTTCTCCTCCGCCCAGATCTTGATGTCCTACCATCCCCTGAAGTTGATGTATGTGGGGTTCTGAAAGGTAACCATGCTTACTTTCTGGTTTGGTCCCCTCTGTGTTGGGGACCCTGATACCACCCTTATGTTCAGAGAGTCACTAGAAATACTCAAGGGGCTCAGCATAGAGTTGTACTACTGGCTAAGATTTATTACAGCAGCAAAATGAGGCAACACAGTCAGATTGTAAGGGACAAAGACACAGGGGGAGTCTGGAGGAATTCATAAGGCAGCCTTTCTCATGCTTTCTTCCTCCTATATGAGAGTTACACAGAGTGAGCTTTTCTGCAAAATGTTCAGAAGGTTTCTGTCCGGGGAAGCCCAAGATTTTTATCTGGACCTGCTCACATAGGCAGTCTGCCAATCACGTTTCAGAATTTCAGATTCACAGAAAGAAACCAGATGTTCAGCAAAAGCCACATGATTGGCACAAACATTCTAAAAACAGTGAGTCATTATTATCACTTAGGGAATAGCTCAAATGCAAAGTACCCAGACACCAGCCAATGGCCAGCAAGCAGATCTTTCTAAGAAGAGCAGTTTCTGGCTATGTTAACATTATTCTGCAAACCCTCCAAGCCCCATCACTGGCCCAGCCACAGCTACTAGGTGGCTGGACGGAAAGAAGCCTCATTCTTTCCAAAGATGACTGTAGATAGTTAGACTCATTAGTTCCTACCGTAATTTGTTGTTTGTTCCGGGTGACACAATAGAGCATGTGAAATTATAAAACTCTTTCATATCTCCATATTCAATTTCACTGGACATGTTAGCTCCACTTCTCTCTTTTTTTTTTTTTTTTTTTTTTGGCAGAGTCTCACTCTGTCACCCAGGTTGGAGTGCAGTGGTGCAATCTCAGCTCACTGCAACCTTTGCTTCCCAGGTTCAAGTGATTCTGGCACCTTAGTCTCCTGAGTAGCTGGGACTACAGGCATGTGCCACCATACCTGGCTAATTTTTATGTTTTTATATTTTTGGTAGAGACAGGGTTTCACCATGTTGGCCAGGCTGATCTCAAACTCCTGACCTCAAGTGATCTGCCCACCTTGGCCTCCCAAATTGCTGAGATTACTGATGTGAGCCACTGCGCCTGGCCAGTTTCTCTTCTTATATCATAATTTTAAAATGTTTGCAAGCCATGTGTATAATGCTTTACTTTAATTAAACAATCTGCAAAACAACATTTTCAGTTTCTTTATGAAGCTAAACATAATAACAACAACAAAAAAATCACTTTATGTAAAAATATTCTAAACACACTCTTCTCAGCCAATGCCAAGACTAGAAATCATTTCAACTGTTAGAAAACAAAACAGTTTTGTGTTGTGTGTTTGTGTTTTGTCTTACATCTCTTCTAGATGTAGAACAAGACTGTACCTTTTGCAGACTAGGAGGCAAATTGACACACTGTAGACATATGATAATTATTCTATTTGTCATTGAACATTTATTGCCAAATTATCAACTATAGCAAATGTAAATGTAAATTTCTATAAATATAGAATATATAGAACCAGGTAGCCCAAAGTGGTATTTTGTTCAACAACCTAAAATAAATTCTACCTGGCCTAGACTATTCCTAGATATAAAAAGAAAAATAAATCTATGTCAAAGTGAATTTTAACCATGAAATGCTCTCACATCTTCCAATTTTAAAGGACCTGAATGATGTAAAGAACTTTTTCAGAACAGAAATTGGGAAGGCAAAGTGACTCTGTTTAACTTTGGTGTGAATTCAAGTTGGGGGACCATTGACCCCACCCTATGTGTTACTGTTGCTTCTCAGAAATACCTCAAAGACCAGCTGCTTTCCAAATTGTCCTGATTTGGACAGTTTCTTTTTCTTTCTACAGTCTTTTTAAAAAACTTTCAAGTTCAGGAGTACATGTGAAGGTTTGTTTTATAGGTAATCTTGTGTCATGGGGGTTTGTTGTATAGATTATTTCATCACCCAGGTATTAAGGTTAGGACCCACTAGTTATTTTTCCTGACATTCTCCCTCTTCCCATTCTCCACCCTCCAGTAGGCCCCAGTGTGTGTTGTTCCCCTCTCTGTGTCCATGTGTTCCCATCACTTCGCTCCTACTTATAAGTGAGAACATGTGGTATGTGGTTTTCTGTTGATTTGGGCAGTTTCTAAACATCTTTTTTTTAAAAACAGCAATGACTCTGGGAAACATAACTTGAGGATATAGAACTTCTAAGCCAAATTTTGTGCATGAATGCTCAATACAGGAGGTGAAAGGACTGTTGGCAAGGGAGTGAATTGAGGAGGAGGTATCCAGAGGATAGAATGGATGATGTGGGGTTGTTCTCTATCCAGCCCTTGAACCAGATTAGAGTTCCTAGGCACAGGTGAAGCCCAGAGCCCAGAAAGCTATTTTGCCTAGAGATTTGGTGAGGTTCTATTCAGGTAGCGATGATTAGGACCTTATGGGGGTATGAGCAGACACATTCCCTGCCTTGCCCCTTAGACACTGCTACATGGAAGGAAGACAGGATTGAAATGAAGACAGTGAAATGGACATTACTCATCTCAGGCCTTATCCCTGTCCCCACCCCCTCCATTCAAATAACATCTCTGGATTTGCTTTTTAGATTCTAAACTTTCTCAACTCTAGTGTACATGGTTTTGGTGTAATCTCCAAGCCACAGCATGAACCAAATACCGCAAGCCTAACTCGCTCACTGCATCTTGCACACTGGACACAGAAAGTGAAGGAAAGAACTCCAATTTACATGCAAATGTATATATTTGAGATGACTATGTTTCATTCCCTCTGCACCATCCCAAGTCACAGTTGGTAAAAGATTTCCAGGGTGGAAGTGGGAGCTTTAAAATAATGTAGAATATAAAGGATTGAGGAATTAAAGTGTTAAATTAGACCACTATAATCAATCTAATTATATTTGAAGGTTATAATTCTATCTGAGGCAAAAATGTGCATTCCCTTCATCTTAGGAGGTATTTAAATCATTTACTTACAAAAATAGATCACAGCATGTTAGAGCCAGCAGCGATCACTTTATTCAGTGGTTGGGCCAACTGACACCCAGAGGTTGGGTGGCTTATCCATGGTCGAGGAAATGAAAGACTAACTTAAATAACAAAGACAGCTCTTGGCTTCTTGGCTCAAGGCTGCTTTCACTTTGGAAGTTTCCTCTAAACAATGATCTATGTAAGGAGTGTGGGATTATATGCACATTGGACACACTGACAGAGGACAAAGCCATGTAGGGTGAAGGCCAGAAAGGAAGCAAGGGAGAAGGGAGGGATGGAGGGCTGAGAAATTTGTCAAGTGGCAACCTAGGGCTCTTTCTCCGATTCTGTCCTAGTGGGGGACTCCTCTACCCCTTCACCAACACCTGTTTTTCCTCATGAGGTCAGACTAATCGAAGAAATGGTACCTCTTGTCTGGCCTCTCTTTGATGCTTGACCTTATTCTCAAAAAGAAGTCAAAGATTATTTGAGTCACAAGATATAGCTCAGATTTTGTCTAGCATTATAACATTTTTACTCTGTTAGCATACATTAATATGTCATACCAAAAAAAAACCCTTCCTCTCTACTTCCAAATGTAAAAGAAAATTTACATTTGAGTTTAAATTCTTATGTTCACCCAAACGCACTATTTTAAATTGATTTGACCAATTTTTATGAGCTATATAGGCTGAAATTGTATAGCCCATGACCTATAAACAAATATGAAGTCATGCACTAGAAAAGCTGACATTTAGAGAAAGAAAAAAATCTTTTTTAAAAAGCATGAATATCCAGCACTGTATTTAATTCCCCAAATAAAAGCTTTCTAACTTAGAATCTTCCGTAAGAACCTGAGAGCCCAAGAGTTATTCATGATATTGCAGTGAACCTCACCTCAGGCTAAAATTATAACCAAGATCCAAGGATAATTACGGCTGGACACTGGCAACCAATTTGTTGATAGGCGGTAAATATGCAATTGGAAAGCAGGCAGACTCATGGCCTGGAGGACTTTGTGAATGCACGGTGTATTTTCCTGGGGAAAAGGTAGGAAAGATGGTACTGATTTAAATTCTAAGGGCTACGTTTGCAAAACTCACATGTTTAGGTTTTTAAACTAGTTTCTCCAGCACAACGCCTGATGATTCCATAATCAAATGCATCAGCCCTTTTCATTGAAGGGCTGCAGTCACAAGGCACAAGCAGATCCAGTACTTAGCGATCCTGTTACAACCTTCTCTCCCTTTTTAAAAGTTGTTGATAGAAAAAATACATGTGGGTTGGGCGCGGTGGCCAAGGCCAGTGGATCACCTGAGGTCAGGAGTTCGAGAACAGCCTGGCCAACATGGTGAAACCCTGTGTCTACTAAAAATACAAAAATTAGCCAGGTGTGTACGCCAGTAATCCCAGCTACTCAGGAGGCTGAGGCAGGAGAATCGCTTGAACCCGGAAGCCAGAGGTTGCAATGAGTCAAGAGCATGCCACTGCACTCCAGCCTGGGCATCAGAGTAAGACTTTGTCTCAAAAATAAATAAATAAAAATAAAAATAGACAACAAAAAAAGAAAAAGCACATGTGGTCTCAGCAACATAGCAAGCTCCTTTTCTCCACCAAAAAAGGAAATAAAGATGAAAAATTTTTAAAGAAGAACAAAACACATGTGCCTAGACATTCCTTGATTACAATCCAAAACCCAAAGATGTTCTGCCGGAGACATAACATGCACGACACACAAGCAGAGAGGTCCCAGGTGAGCGTCTACAGAGTAGATTGGCACCAGAATTCCACTCACGAGGCAGCCAGATCACCTGAGGTTAGGAGTTCGAGACCTGGACAACATGGTGAAACCCTGTGTCTACTAAAAATACAAAAATTAGCCAGGCATGGTCGTGCACGCCAGTAATCCCAGCTACTTGGGAGGCTGAGGCAGGAGAATCACTTGAACCCAGAAGGCAGAGGTTGCAATGAATCAAGAGCATGCCACTGCACTCCAGCCTGGGCATCAGAGTAAGACTTCGTCTCAAAAGTAAATAAATAAATAAAAATAAAAAAACTAAGCAACAAAAAAACAAAAAGCACATGTGGTCTCAGCAACCTAGCAAGCTCCTTTTCTCCACCAAAAAAGGAAATAAAGATGAAAAACTTTTACAGAAGAAAAAAACACATGTGCCTAGACATTCCTTGATTACAATCCAAAACCCAAAGATGTTCTGCCGGAGACATAACATGCACCACACACAAGCAGAGAGGTCCCAGGTGAGCGTCTACAGAGTAGATTGGCACCAAAATTCCACTCAATAAAAACATGTTCTTCCCAATTATCTGTAGTGTAAATCCAGGCAGAACTACCGAAATTGAGGAGTAATCACCGGGTTTCTCAATAGACACCAACAGAAAAGGATTTTGAAGTGTTCCCAGTAGGTCTTTTTAAAAAACAGCAGTGGCAACTTGAGTGATAAGTAAATTTTTCACTGTCCCAGGTGGATCTGGTCTGGGTAAAAGAAATAATTCGGCCTTTTGAGAACTCACTTGGGCTGCTAGCAGCAGCTCACTGGGCAGGTTCTGCTTGTGTGTAAAATGTGCCTCAGCTGTGTGTTTTAGGGACCGCAGACCATGTCACAGAGACAAGGGAAAGACAGCCGAAGGTGAACTCCCGAATAGTTCTACACTTTGCTTGAAAGTTATTTAACTCACAAGGCAGGACAATTGGCTTCTTAACCAAAGTCCATTCACCCTTCATGGAAGGTGACTCCATCCTTGGCGCAGGGGTAAACCCAGAAAAGGTAGAACCCAGAAAAGGTAGAACCCAGATTCTACCCTTGCCAGTGATTGTTGGGCATGAGACCTGGTTCTGGACAATCAGATGCAAAGGAACATCTGCTGGGAATTTCCTTTAAAAAAGTTCTCTTACTGAAAAAAGGAGACACTTAGAACGCCTGTCCAGTTTTGACAAAATCCCCGGAACATGAGCAACCATTCTGCTGACTGTAAGGGATCCAGCCTAAGGACCTAGTCAATAAGATGAAGACAGCAAAGCAAAAGCACAGAAAGAATCTGAACAAATTTGACACTTTTGAGCTGTTATAAATTAGCCTGTTTTCAAACTGCCCTACTGTGATACTTCTTATTTTTACTTTTTTTATTTTTGTAGACAGGGTCTCACTCTGTCACCCAGACTGGAGTGCAGCGGTCCGATCTCAGCTCACCACAACCTCCACCTCCCAGGCTCAAGTGATTCTCCTGCCTCAGCCTCCCGAGTAGCTGGGATTACAGTCACGCCACTACTGCCTGGATAATTTTTGTATTTTTAGTAGAGACAGGGTTTCACCATGTTGGCCAGGCTGGTCTCGAACTCCTGACCTCAAATGACCCACCTGTCTCGGCCTCCCAAAGTGCTGGGATTACATTCATGCCACTACTGCCTGGCTAATTTTTGTATTTTTAGTAGAGACAGAGTTTCACCATGTTGGCCAGGCTGGTCTTGAACTCCTGACCTCAAATGATCCACCCACCTTGGCCTCCCAAAGTGCTGGGATTACAGGCGTGAGCCACCATGCCCGGCCCCATAATACTTCTTGATATTGAAACTCCTAATGCTCCATGCCATGTGAGACTTTTTGAGTTTTATTTCCTCTGGTTTACAGGCATTACTAATGCACCACTGAATCACAGGGAATGTTTCCATATGAATGTGCGTGATTGGCTGCTAGAGTGATTTCTTTCTCTTTATCATTTGGAACTCTAATAACCACCTGGTAGTGAGGCAGCACAGAGGAAAACAATCTCCCTGGCACAGTAATCCACCACAGGCAAGTCATCTGTGGTGCAAATGTAACTCACATCACTTTCCTCCAATCCCTCCCTGCATCATGCTTGAAGTGATCTTAGCACTTCATCTCATGCTATGGTGTCTCAGGCACTTGGGACCTGGAGCCGGACCTGTCTGATTTAGATCCCAGCCCTTCCACTATCTCTCTAAGTATACATCGAACAAGCTCTTGAGCACCAAGCTTTACTTTCCTCATCTCTAAAACGGGAATGAGGAAGGTCATTGTTGTTAAATAAGAATGAGAGGTTGTTGTAGTTAAATAAGACGATGAAAGTACGACTCTTAAAGCAGCGCTCAGCACAGAGTTGGTGCTTAGTTAGTTTAGCCAATATGGATGTCTCTCTCTTTTTTTTTTTTTTTTTTTTTTTTTTTTTTTTTTTTGTGAGACGGAGTCTCGCTCTGTCGCCCAGGCCGGACTGCGGACTGCAGTGGCGCAATCTCGGCTCACTGCAAGCTCCGCTTCCCGGGTTCACACCATTCTCCTGCCTCAGCCTCCCGAGTAGCTGGGACTACAGGCGCCCGCCACCGCACCCGGCTAATTTTTTGTATTTTTAGTAGAGACGGGGTTTCACCTTGTTAGCCAGGATGGTCTCGATCTCTTGACCTCATGATCCACCCGCCTCGGCCTCCCAAAGTGCTGGGATTACAGGCGTGAGCCACCGCGCCCGGCCGGATGTCTCTCTCTTAAAAGTCTACCCTGTAAACCATTATTGAGCACTTTTGACCCTGTGAACATTTTGCAGGGAGATGGAGGAAAGAAGAAAAGAGAGGGGAGGGGAGGGGAGGGAAGGGAGGAAGGAAGGAAAGTTTCTTTAGAACACTTTGCAAACTCTATAGAGGATTAGGAAGCTAGATCATAGTCTTTCAGAGAGAAAATGAATGCAAATCCTAGAAACATCCTGTCATGTGTGAACCCAACACTATTCTCCACTGGGAGTGCAGTCATTGCTCTGATCTGGCTGGCTTTAGAATGAGAATCTCCTCTCTGCTATATGAAGAGGGAACAACTTGTGCAAACTCTAACAGAGGAAAGGAAACCCATTTGCAACCAAAAATCAGAAGCCACGTCTATTGCCTGGTCCTCCTTGATGCCAAGCTCTGCACACAAAGCCAGGTGTCTTCTGTTCTATTCTCTCCATCATTTACAGAATGATTTAGTTAGTAAGGCAGGACCCATTTAGTGAAAACAACAATAACATCAACAAATCATAATAAATTTCTTCATAGAGGTAATTCATTTCTTTTCCATCAACTTGCCTGTTTCTGTACTAAGACAATAAATACGTTTTTGTTACTTTAACTCTAGTTTTTATTTTGGCATCTCGGGGACAAATCTCCTCAACTCTGACTTCTGTGCTTCTTCCTGAAAATCATGTTGGCAATTCTGGTAGTTTTTCCTTTTCTATTTCAGAGAATCAGATGAAATCAATGAATCACCACTATCTTCCCCCAATTTCTATCTCACCCATGGCCAAAGTTAGATTGTAGAGTTCAAACTCTTCTGTACTTGACAAACTGCATAGATATGGAGTATGTAGCCGCCTCTCTCCCTGAAATGAGCTGGCAGCCTTGGGTGCATTCTTGCATATGTGTGTGTGTGTGTGTGTGTGTGTGTGTGTGTGTGTGTGTGTCTGTGCGCACGCTAGAAGATGGGTAAGGAAGAGTTTTAATAAAGGGCAACTAAGGAAATTTGAGAAACAAGTTAAGTCAGAAAGTGGCAGTACCTAGACCAAAACCCACTTTTTCTTAATACAAGTTGTCTGTTTTTCTCTACTCACTGATCTGCAATGGACATCTGGAAACTTCCATAGGTTTTGAAGAAGATAACAAAAATGTGTATGATGACGAGTATATTGAGGTTGCTATGAGTCCTTTCTTGCCTGGAAATTTTCTCTATTCTGCTATTTTGTAGTTCATATCTTTCATAAGAAAAAAATGTCCTCTGTCACATGAAATTCTGATGACAGTACATAATATTGGATAAATATTTTATATCTATAATTCACAAAATAAAATACAGGCAATATTTTCTAGCACCCTCATTAAGATCAGTAGACAACAGATAGCAAGATGGAGAGAGAGAGAGAGAGAGGATTCCTTTTGTTCAGTTGGCATTAAATATTTTTCTCTTAAGGAAAGAGGATTTTGAATTGGGCATTTATCCCCCAAGAACAGAGAACCCTCATAAAATACAGAGATGGAGTAGTTTCTGGTCCCCATCTCGATAGAATAAATGGGAGAATGTTGTGTTGACCTGACTTCTGACTCTAGTGTTAGCCTTATCTGAAACCCCTGAAACTTTCAGCTATTTTTTTTTTTTTTTTTAGACAGAGTTTCACTCTTGTTACCCAGGCTGGAGTGCAGTGGCACGATCTCGGCTCACTGTCACCTCTGCCTCCTGGGTTGAAGAGATTCTCCTGCCTCAGCCTGCCGAGTAGCTGGGATTACAGGTGCCCACGACCATACCCAGCTAATTTTTTGTATTTTCAGTAGAGATGAGGTTTCATTATGTTGGCCAGGCTGGTCTCGATCTCCTGACCTCGTGATCCACCCGCCTTGGCCTACTAAAGTGCTGGGATTACAGATGTGAGCCACTGCACCTGGCCTTCTTTTTCTTTTTTTTTTAAATCTCTCTCTTTTCTACTGTTAGTGCTGATTATTTTTAGTGACTGTCTTAGTCTATTCTCACATTGCTATAAAGATATACCTGAAACTGGGTAACTTATAAAGAAAAGAGGTTTAATCAGCTCATAGTTCTGGGGGTTGTACAGGCTTCTGCTTCTGGGGAGCCTCAGGAAACTTACAATTATGGCAGAAGGCAAAGGGGAAGCAAGCACATCTTCACATGGCCAGCAGGAGAGAGAAAGAGAGCAAAGAGAGAAGTGCTACACACTTTCAAACGAGATCTTATGAGAACTCTATCACAAGATAGCACTAGGGGGATGGTGATAAACTGTTAGAAACAATCACCATGATCCAATCACCTTCCACCAGGCCCCACCTCCAACACTGGGGCTCACAATTCAACCTGAGATTTGGGTGGGGTGGGGAGGCAAAGCCAAACCATATCACTGACTAATTTCTGTGATCTGCAACCAGGTGTCTTATCAGTGTCCCTGGGCTCTTCTCCTGAGAGCAACAGACACAGAGCTTACTATTAAGGTTAATCACTGCCCTCCAGGTATTTGAAGATGCTCATCTGCTCATTCCAGTGACACTCTTCTTGCTCTGATCTGAATTAATATTTTTCCCTTCCTTTTTAACTGTGGTGGTTCCTTGGCCTTCAACAGATCATTTAGAAACTCAAAATAAATATTTAATTTGGTGTTACAATAATATGTTTTATCTTATTGGCCTTGCCTTTATTGGGTGATAATGATGGTGATGATAATGGTGATGATGATGATGGTAATTGTATGGTGATGATGATGATGGTGATGATGTGATGATGATGATAGTGACAATGATGGTGATGATGCTCCTGATGATAATGGTGATGATGATGATGATGATGATGATGATGGTAATGATAATGGTAATGGTGATGATGATGATCATGATGATGACATTGATGATGATCATGGTGATGATAGCTAATATTTTTGACCACTTACTATATTCTAGCCACTTTACTAAGCATTGTACATACATGATCTACTGAATCCCCACAATCATTTTGTGAGGTATGCATTTTTAACATTTCCATTTTAAAGACGAGAAAGGGAAGGATTAGAGGGACTAAATACTTACAGAAGAAAATAAATCAATATGCAAAGAGAAACAAAATTTGTAGATGGGGGAAGAGAACAACCAAGATAGAGAAGAGATCATTTGATTTGACTCCTAGATGAAACAATACCTGAAGCTATCATCATCCCTAAACCTCAGTTTTATGAGCCAATGCATTCTTTTTTCCTTAGAATATTTAAGTCTTAATAGTATAACTACAAATATCCTTGATGGTTTTTACATGATAGCTCAACTGATACACTCATTACAAGCTAAATAGAGGTAGTCACTTAAAAAGCTATTATGTTTCCCCACTGCCCAGTGTCAATACACAGAAGTAATGTCAATCACTTTTTCTCCCCCAGGTCTCAACACGTGGCAGTAGGCAGCAGAATTAATTCCCTGTGCCTCCTGCAATTCCCTGAGCCTCCCTTTCTCAAAACGCCAGCTTTCTCACAAGGATAGCCTGAGACATACGGAAGTGGGAATGATGTTCTGTTCTCAGGTGAAGTGTTTGTGCATATGTGTGTGTCGGGGGAGAGGAAGGTAAGCAAAACCAGTTGTTCTCAGATGACTTGCAGCACCTGAGCATGTCCTTTATTTTATCTTTTTTTTAAAAAAAATACTTAATAGCATTTTCACTTCCTAGTTTCTCCATTATGTTGAAGTTGAATAGTCTTTGGTAGGTCTTGTCTTACTTTTCAAGAACATTATGGGAATTCTGCAAAAAGATAGCTACATGCAAAGCTATCATTTCTATTGTTACAAAAATATGTGACACACTTACCTTATGCTATCAAAGATGAATGCTATCCTCCACATATCCTTTAAATGGGCTTCACAAGAAGAGGATGGTCCCATTTCTGAACATTGCCTTGTCAATGGATGAGGAGGTTTGCACTCAGTCAAACTGGTTAAGCTAGAATCATATTTCCCTAAATCTCTTGTCCTGTTTATTTCCAGGTGATGATTGGCCAATAAAATAAATTTAGACGTGATTTGGATAGTAAAAATGAAGCCACAGTCACTGATCACTGAAGATCATTGTGGGTACAGGTGGGAGCTAAGAGCTAGCAAGGTATCAGTGGGATTTACAAGTCTTTTCTTTATTCTTTATCCTGCTCTTCTTGTCAATTGCCAGATTTCCTGACCAACAAAGGGCCCAGGCCGACTGCCACAAGTCTGAATGCAGACCTGCAGAAGCAGCAGCAACTCAAAAGGACAGCATTCCACAGACCTTCCCTGCACTGCCCTTCATAGCCCACTCTGCAGCTGGACCTGCCTACTCGCCATACACCCTGAAAGCTCCCACTTATCCACCTAACCTCAACTTGCTCTAGTGTTCGAGGAGGGCTGAGTGGTGGTTTTCCTCGGGCCTTCCAACACTTGCCCTTCTCCCCCAAGTATTACAAGCCCTCATTCTAAATATATCCCTGATTTCATAATACTAATAGAAGTGCTGCTTCTCTGATTAAACCCTGACTGACACATGGAGTGTTTTATTACCATTTAATAAACATCATGTCAAACCTAATGATTTACGGTCAACATAAATTACACAGGGAAGGTGAGCAAAAGAATCCCTTTCCTTTTTGCCTCTATGCTGTTCTAGTTTCAGCTGGCCTGAGCTTCCCTCTCTTGGACTCTTCAGTCTAACAGCTAACCCATATATGACACAAAGATCAAAGGTCAGATTCTTGGGCTCCATTAAGGCTGCTACTTTAAATGACAGCACTATTTATGGACTCTTTATTGAAGACAGATCACCCTTGGAGGCTGCCACAACCTTTACTCATAAATCAGACATCAAGTGCCTCTTGGGGGCTAAATACTGCCTCTCCTGTTGAAGACATGAAGGGGTGTAACATATACTCAATTTGCTGCCACACAAGGATTTAGAATCTGCTTACTCCCTCAACCTAGGACTCAAGGTCCAGACAAGGAAATTTGATTTTTTTTTTCTTCCTTTTTCTTTCCCTGCCAGCCACACACACCAGCCGGTGTTCCCAGGGGACACTGGCAACTGTATGTAGGCTGAGCTTTGGCGTAGAAGAAATAAATAATCTATAGAAGAAAATACGTCAGAATATTTTCTTATAAAAATGAAGGAATGACCGTTGCATCATTCCAAGTACCAAAATAATACACTAATTGAAAATTTTCCTCTAAATTTCAATGTTCTCTAACAGAGATTATTCTAACTTAGTTGTTTTCAACAGGGTCAATTTTGGCAACGTCTTGGGACTTATTTGTAGGTAGTTTGTTTAATCCTCTATGCCTCAATTTCCTTACCTTTAAAGAAAATAGAAAATATAGTAACGCTATAAGGTTGTTGCAAATAATAAATGAGCTGGCCAGGAACAGTGGCTCACGCCTGTAATCCAAGTACTTTGGGAGGCCGAGGTGGCTGGATCACTTGAGGTCAGGAGTTCGAGACCAGCCTGGCCAACATGGTGAAACCCTGTCCCTACTAAAAATACAAAAATTAGTTGGATGTGGTGGTGCATGCCTGTAATCCCAGCTACCTGGGATGCTGAGGCCAGAAAATTGCTTGAACCCAGGAGACAGACATTGTAGTAGGCCAAGATTGCGCCACTGCACTCCAGCCTGGGTGACAGAGTGAGACTCCATCTCAAAAATAAATAAATAAATAAAAATAATAATAATAAATGAGTTAATACATGTAAAAACCACTTGAAACAGTGTCCATTGTTTATAAGCACTTATACGTGCTAGCTATTATGGTTAGGTATACAAATTGAATAAAGGGACTAGCAGTGTGGTGAATGAATTCCCTTTGTAACATAATTTGAGTTCATTCTACTTGTAATCTAATACAAATCTTATTAAGCCATATTAAGCCACAATGCATCTAAATGGACAATTTGCTGACCTTGAAACTGAGAGAATGGGCTAAGAAATTATATTGATGATGATTGCATGACGGTTCATGAAGAGACCAGGATGGAGCCAGGATAAGTGGTAAGAATGGGCATTTGGGTATCAATCTTCAAGTTGATCTCACAAGGTAAGAGGCATCTGCATTGGCTCCTGCTACCCTTCATGGGAGATCAATTTCCACAGAGGCTGGTTTCCTGGAAAGCATTGACCCCAGAACAGCACAGGGGCCTGGGACTTTTCTGTCTTGTTAAGTAAAAGTTACAAAAACTAATTTATCTTTGTTTAAGTAGAAAATTGAAGCAAGTGAAACTTGACTGAAATGTACTAACAAGTGGGAGTCGACAGAGACCAGTGACGTGTCCTGCAGTCCAGGTAGGAGCCAACTTCCAGAAATACCTGAGCTCCAAGCTGCCTATTGGGGCAGAAGTCACAGGGGATGTGGGTCAAAGGGTGAAAGTCTCAGTTAGGATGCATAGGCTCTGGAGCTCTGTTAGACATCATGGTGACTATAGTTAACAATCGTGGACTGTGTAGGTAAAATTTGCTAAGACAGTAGATCTTAAATGTTACCAAAGCCCTCCCCAATGGTAACTAGGCTAGGAGATGGATATGTTAATTGGCTTGATTGTGGTAATCATTTCACAATGTATACCTCTATCAAAACATTCTGCTGTATACCATAAATATATACAATTTTTATTTTTCAATTTTACCTCAATAAAGCTGAGGGGAAAAAAATTGTCCAGCCTGGACAACATTCTCTCCCACACTCATCTCTGCTAAAAATAAAAAATAAAACAGTAGCTAGGCAAGGCGGTGCCCACCTGTAGTTCCAGCTACTTTGAGAGGGTTGGGTGGGAGGATCACTTGAGCCCAGATCAGGGCTTCATTGAGCTATGATTTGCCACTGCACTCCAGCTGGGGCAAGAGAGTGAGGCCTCATCTCAAATAAGTAAGTAAAATAAATAAATAAATAAATCATCTAGTAAATGTGAGTTCTGAAACTAGACTATCTGAGTTCAAGTCTCAGCTCCATCACCTACCAACTGTGTGGCCTTGAGCAAGTAAGTAACTGGACTTCTTTTTTTTTTTTTTTGAGACGGAGTCTCGCTCTGTCACCCAGGCTGGAGTGCAGTGGTGCCATCTCGGCTCACTGCAAGCTCCGCCTCCTGGGTTCACACCATTCTCCTGCCTCAGCCTCCTGAGTAGCTGGGACTACAGGCGCCCGCCACCAAGTCCGGCTAATATTTTTTTTTGGATTTTTAGTAAAGATGGGTTTTCACTGTGTTAGCCAGGATGGTCTCGATCTCCTGACCTCATGATCCTCCTGCCTCAGCCTCCCAAAGTGCTGGGATTACAGGCGTGAGCCACCGCGCCCCACCTAACTGGACTTCTTTAAGCATTTGCTTTAAGCATCTGTTTTCTTGTGTGTAAAATTGGTATTACGAGAGTACATACTTTTAGGGTTTTCATAAGGATTAAATAAGTTACTTCAAGTATTATGCCTAGAAGAGCATCTGCAGGTCTAAAGATACTACTAATATTGCAAGGTAGATGACTTTAATTTGACATGTCTGCCTTTCGGTGCCTCCATTGTTAAAATGAGGCTAACACTGTAAGGCTTCACAGGAGTCATTCATGCAACAAACGGTCCTGTGATGCACACTGTGCCCGGCCCCACTGGAGAGACTGTGAAAGCACCGCTCCATCTAGTCACACTCCAGGGAACTCACATGGGGGCTGGGCAGGGGGACCTAAGAGATAGATAATCGGCACATATCGCTTCTCGGCCTTTTGGCTAAGATCAAGTGATAATCAGCAAGTAAATGCAGAGGAAGGAGAGCTGGGGAACTCTGGGCACAACTTTACAGCTTCGTGGTTCATATTCTTTTCTAGGAGAAAGGAAGGGTGGATGAGGCCCCAATCCATCGGTTGGAAATAATGGGCTATGTTTTATTCCTCAGTGCACTGAGAAGGAGAGCAACATTTAAGCGTGTAAGTGTGTGTATGTGTTTGTGTGTGTGTGTGTCAGAGAAAGGGAGGGAAGGAGAGAGAGAAAATAACATATTTCTGCTGCTTTAGGAAGACCAGAGAGTCTCCATCTGCTTTGTAACTGTAGCTGCTTCCTAAGGTCATGTGTAGGCTACGCAAATCAAAGGAGTCTTGGAAATTCTCAGCAGTTTTTTTTTTTTCTATGCAGACCTGTTGAACCCCTCATTTTTCAGTGACCCTTTTGTTGCCAGAGGGCTCAGGAGGGTATCTGGAAGCCAGTGGGACCCTAGCCCCAGCAGTGTCCAGGTTCTTGACACCATGGAGAGAAAGAATTCGATGACAAATCAGAATAAAGCAAAAGGCAAGAAGCTTTTACTGTCAAGCAAAAGTACACACAGAAGAGAGAAGTGCAGGCGTGCTTGGGAGAGTGAGAAGAACGTGGCAGAATTTGGGTGTCTAATTTTATAGGCTCTTCTAATTAGGGGAATAATCATGATATTTTCTAAGAAAACAAGTAGGGATATCTTAGAATTGGGATGCCACCCATTTATGTACTAAATATACATTGGTGCTGGTGGGTGTGTGATTTTGGATGGTGACGAGAGTACAGTTAGGTCGGGTAGGGCATAAGTCAAGTCCATCACCATATCAGATCCAGCTGGTCTCAACCAGCTTTGCCCCCTACCTTGTTTGTTGGGGTCTTATCAGCCCAGGCTTGTCTTTGTTCTTGTCACTAATTCTAACAGCTCCTTTCCTGCAGTTATGTGAAATTGCTGCTTCATATTTTCCCTCTTCTCCTGTGACCACCCAGCATTCCGATTTAATGGGTGTTTCTTTAATTAGGGGGTAGAACAATCATTAGGTGCTCCAGAAAAAGAGAATTATATGGTTTGGCTGTGTCCCACCCAAATCTCACTTTGAATTGTAATTATCCCCACATGTCAAGGGTGGGGCCAGGTGGACATAATTGAATCATGGAGGTAGTTTCCCCCACACTGTTTTCATGGTAGTGAATAAGTCTCATGAGATCTGATGGTTTTATAAACGGGAGTTCCCCTGCACGTGCACTCTTGCCTGCAACCATGTAAGACATGCCTTTGCTCCTCCTTGCCTTTTGCCATGATTATGAGGCCTCCCCAGCCATGTGGAACTTTGAGTTCATTAAACATCTTTGCTTTACAAATTTCCCAGCTTCAGAAATGTCTGTATTAGCAGTGTGCGATCAGACTAATACAGAGGGGATTTCAGGGACTCCCCATGAATGCCCCCTTTCTCCCTTAATTGGGTTTGCCTGGAAGAGTCATGGGCCTGTCACCCTGACTGGGGTTTTGGCTGTTTTTGCTCCGTATTTTGGGTTTTCAGTTATCCTGGGTTTCTTTGTGTAGTTCTTGTTTCAGCTGTTGTTTGGGTCTTTCCACCCTGTGACTACCCAGTGCTATTCCTGTCCCACCTTGGCCTGGCTGAGATGTTACCACAGCTGCCTTCTCCCCACTGCAGGCAAATGGAACTAACTTAGAATGGCGAGTTAATGGGTTCAGCACACCAACATGGCACATGTATACATATATAACCTGCACGTTGTGCACATGTACCCTAAAACTTAAAGTATAATAAAAAAAATAGCTCTTAAGGAAAAAAAAAAGTGAGCTGGTGTCAAGCTCCTCCTGGGACTAGAACTCTCCAATACGCTGTATCAGGGGCACACTCCCAGGATGAGTGGGTTGTCCAAGCCCACCCCTCCTCTCCTAGTCCTGTTGAGGGTTATCTTCCTGTGCCCAATTTTGGAGACAAAAATTGATTCTTCATTGCTAGCATCTATCTCTTTCATTGTCATTTAATCACAGGAGTTTTTCCTTATTCTATTTCTTTTGAAATTCTTTCCTGGCTCAGGACGCCCTGGGGTGCTCCACTGAAGGAGACTACTGTGACACCTTGCGAGCAAGCAGGCTTCCTTTCTGAGGTTGCACCGAGCCAGCCCTAGGTGTGTGTGTGGGGGGGACTGGGCCCTGCCTCCAGGGTGGGCAGACGCAGAGGGTGCTGCCCTGGGGTTTGGGGAGGGAAGAGGCTGGTGTCTGAATGCTGTTCATTCACTGCAGGCAGGGTCAGGAGAGCGGTCAGGCTCTGACTCCCACCCCCTGCAGATCAGGCCAGAACTGAAATCATCTGGTTGGGCCCTGGTAGAGGCAACTTCCATGAAAGAAGAGAGAGCGCGCTGGGTGCAAATCAGCGGGAAAGGCTGGGGGAAGACGGAAAGTTTGGATTTCTCCTGCCCCATGGTGCAAAGCCCAAACCAAACCAACTAAAAACCTGCCGTTGCGGGAACAATTCTGCGGGGAAAAGGGGGCACTTCCACCTAAATAGTTAGCACAGGCTTATCGTGTTAAAAACTCAATGAGGCAATAAGGGTAAACTGAGCGATTACCCTTTCTTCAGTGATGAGTTTCTGGTGTGTTTCCGCATGTTTGAGTGTTTTCCCCTACACATTTATAAACACAGGTACACGTCCGTTTATACAAACACTTGTGTATCCCTTGTTCACACGGTCGTGCACGCTGCTCTTTTTCCTCTCCGTGTATCCGGAAGATGGTTCCGAATCAACTGGATAGGATTTTTAATTTCCGAAGGCACGAGCTCCCCTGGCATCCGCAAATGTGACCCGCAATTTAGAGAGGAAGAGGAGCGCAGACCCTACCTGTCCGGAGTAACGGTCAGGAGAGAGGTGGGGAAGGGCTGGGCCCCTCTCGGTGTCCCGGGTTCCCGGCAGAAGTCTCCAGGGCTGAGGGAGTCTGCAGACACGGAGTTTCCGTGCCAGAGGAGCGGGTCCACGCGGACAGGCAGTTCCAGCTCCGGGTAAGTGCGGCCCCATCTCCTCTCCGTCCCCGGCTCCGCCAGCAGCAGTCCCGGAGAGATTTCCCCTCCCCGCCGCCCGCGCTCTCTCTCCTCCTGCGCCCAGGCCGGTCTCCGGCTCCGGAGTCGGACGGCGACGGTGCAGATGAGGGCGCACAGGGGACGGTCCTGGAGCCCGGGAAGGGTGCGAGATGGAGACGGCGGTTCAGAAAAGTTGTCAGGTCTCCAGCCCGGGCAGTGGCGGGAGCTGGAGCCGCGGTGGAGACGACTCGAGGGGACGCAGCCCGCCTGGCACAAAGGGCCACGGGCGCGAGGGACTCGATGAGCTGGGAGATCGCGGCCCCGGCAGGTGCGGCGCGCTGGGGCGGGTGCTTGGCGCCTTCCCCGGCACAGGTGAGACTGGGCGGAGAGGGCATCTGTGGCGTGGCCTCTCTGGGTGCGGAGTGAGGGGACGCAGTAAACGTGGGGTTTGGATCCCGCGGCGGCGCTGGATAGGCGGACACTGTGGGGCTCCGCGGACTGTATCGCCTACCTGGACCTCACGCGGACCACGTGCAGATCTGGCGCCAGGGGGGATGTGGTGGAGGTGTCGTGTCCCTTGCTTTTCCCCTCCCTAGGACTTGACAGGACTAGGAGGATGGGGGAGCCCGGTTCTTTGCACTCCTTTTTCCCCAACAATGGAGCTCCATGCCTCCCTCACTCTAGTTCAGTTAAACTAAGATTGGGAGGGTCCCAGGGAGGAGCCAGTCCCCCTGCACCTGTTTCCCTTCTAGCCTGTGGTCCTGAGAGCCAGGCTGTGCCCACGGGGGAGCAGGTGTTCACAGCGAAGCTCGCAGGGGGCCCCAGGTTGGCAGAAATGTGCGATTATCTCAACAGACACCTGAGATCGAGATCCGGTCCGATGTGGTTTGAGGATTGCAAGGAGGGGCTGGGGGGTCTCTGGCGAGTCGGTACAAGAATGTAGAACAGAACTGGGCTTTCCAGAAGGCCTTTCACCCCACTCCCCCATCTCTACAGCGCGAATTACTTCATCTCAGAGGGAATTTAGTGGGTACATTAGGCACATAGCACAGCGCCTGAAGCACACGAAAAGCTTAGCAGCTGTTAACCACTGCCATTATCATCATGCCTACGTGGGGCCCAGGTAGAATCAAGCCGACCCACATGAGTAGCGGAGGGGGAGGCTTCCAGGTCCGGGGAGAGCGACCCGCGCGCCCTTCTGCGCGGTTACTGGCACGCGTGGTTGCGTGGATGGCGTGCCAAGTCTCACCTAAGGCTGGGAAGGCGGCTGCGCCTCTGTCCAGGGTTCCAGGGCGCCTGAGAGCAGGAGCGCTAGGAGAATGTCATTTGCCTGTTTCCCGCGCGCGCCTGAGCTGTGTCCGCAGGGCTGGGCTCCGAGCGCAGTAGCGAGACCGCCTGTTGGTTAAACTTACCGTAAGGTGCGGGGTCTTCTTAGGTCTCTGCTCTCAATGCGGAGAGCTCTACCTTAGCCCGCTTACAGACAGATCTTCTAAGCACTTTTTATCCAGCTGCCTCCTGCCTAAAGCTCTTTCAGCTCAGCTGGAAAATCACTAGGAAGGACATACTGCCAATTTCAGTGATAAAAAAAAAGTTTTTGCTTTTCAGAAGTCATGTGCAGCCTGAACTCCTGGGATATCCACTCACCTTGAGCCTGCAGGTTCCTTCAGGAGCCAGATGGAACTTATAAAACATGTTTTTTAAATACTGCCATTTTCTTTCAAGGCTTCCAGTTAGGCAGAGGTGAGGGTGGGGGTAGCAGATATCTTCTCTTTTATTCCTTTTATTTCAATTGCAAAACAGATCTCCAGTATCAGGGTGCGGAATAAAACTAGGTGAGGAGACAGAGTGACGGGGGCTATTGGTGGTGGAGTGGGCAGAGAAGCTTCCCCAAGGAGGTTTACTTGGGAGCTGATACTTGAGTGAAGTGAGGGAAGAGGCCAGAGAATACCTGGGGAGGAGCTGTCCAGGCAAGGGAACAACTAGTGTGCAAAAGCCCGGAGGCTGGAATTAGCTGGGTGCCTGGTGGTGGTGGAGTGGGCAGAGAAGCTTCCCCAAGGAGGTTTACTTGGGAGCTGATACTTGAGTGAAGTGAGGGAAGAGGCCAGAGAATACCTGGGGAGGAGCTGTCCAGGCAAGGGAACAACTAGTGTGCAAAAGCCCGGAGGCTGGAATTAGCTGGGTGCCTGGAAAGAAGAACAATGGCGAGACGGCCATGTGGCTGGAACTGAGTGAGGGTGCGAAAGGGGTCGGGGATGCATCAGGGAGGTGGGCAGAGTCCTGAAGCTGACCATGTGGTCCAGGCAGGCCACGTGTGTCTCAGATTGGAGCTGGCCCTGGCATCCACTCTCCTTTCTCTTCCTCAGGAGCAAACTCCTGATGTTTTCCTGGGCACTTGATCACCCAGAATAAGGACTGCCTTTGGCAGCCTCTTCTGCAGCAGGGTGTGGCTCTGTGACTGGGTCCTAAGATTTTTTTTTTTTTTTTTTTTTGAGACGGAGTCTCACTCTGTCGCTCAGGCTGGAGTTTAGTGGCGCTATCTCGCCTCACTGCAAGCTCCGCCTCCCAGGTTCACGCCATTCTCCTGCCTTATCCTCCCGAGTAACTGGGACTACAGACGCCTGCCACCACGTCTGGCTAATTTTTTGTATTTTAGTAGAGACGGGGTTTCACCGTGTTAGCCAGGATGGTCTCGATCTCCTGACCTTGTGATCCGCCTGCCTTGGCCTCCCAAAGTGCTGGGATTACAGGCACGCACCACCACGCCCGGCTAGGTTCTAAGATTTAGTATGTAAAAGGGGGTGGCACCTGTAAATTTCAGGAAGTGAACTTCAGTAGAGGAAGTCACCTTTCTTTGTCCCTATGTCATGGCTGGAAAACGAACCATTAGTAATGACAGGAGCTCTAGCAGCCATTTTAGACCATGAGGTGTTCCTTGGAAATGGAAACTGCACAGTGGAATAGCAAGAGAAGTGAAGCCTGGGTATCCACTGCAGCTACACTGCCCCCCCAGCCTTGGCTGATGGCTTCTGGACTTTATGAACACAAGAGAAAAATTAACTTGTATTTTGTTTAACGTGCGTGTGTGTGTGATATATACATATATATATATATATTTTTTTTTCCTGTGACTTACAGGTGAACCTAAACTTACATGGTACCCCATGGTTAGAACCTACATTTTATTCCAATCCATGGGGAAACTATTGGAGACTTTTGAGCCAGGAAGTGACAGAAATTGTTTCACTTTTTAATAGACTCATTCTGCTGCTATGAGCGAGGAGACTGGGCCCAAAGGAACAAGAATGGACACAGGAAAGGTCAGCTGAGGTTATGGCAGGTATCCAGGTGCATGAAGATGGTGGCTTGGACCAGGTGGCCATGGTGGAGAGAACAGGAAATGATCATCCTTAATATGAATTAGGATGAGTGTGATTAATAGAGGTGAGGAGAAAAGTCGCAAACACATATATACACACATGCATATGTATATGCATATGTGTATGTATATATGTATATATTATACATTTGACTTAGAGACATAGATCTGATTTTCCCATATAATATTTTCTTAAAACAGGTCATTTCATAGTTCCTATCTCCTTAGCTCACTTCCCCATGTTTCCAGTAGTTTAGTGAACAGCACCTCAATTGTTTGTATAGAATCCATCATAAAGCAAGAATTAGGAAGACTTTTTAAAATTCTCATATTTACAATGAGAATAAATGAGGCAGAAGAAAGTGGTGCAACTTTCTATAATTCATCCCAGTGAATAAGTTTGACACCTGGTATTAAAGGATCTGAAAATATTGAAGCTTCAGTGAAAAGCAGATTCCTCCGAAGCAATTGTTAAAGACTTCTTAAGGAAAAAAAATCAGCATTGCATTTATATGTGTTATTTTACATAAGTATATCCCTCTGTTTCTCTTAATAATTCCAACATATGCTTTAGCTCATGGTTGGCATCTGAAATAGCATTTGATAATACACATGGCAACATAGAGAAATAGATTTAAGAAATGTAAAATAAGGCTAAAACAATTGAAAGGGGATCAAATCCAGGGGAAATGTTGCACCAGGGTGTACAGATTATGGCTCTTTGATGGTTCCTGAGAGGGAAGTAAAGCTTTAACTCAGGGTTTCCTAGCGAGAAGGAAACACAGTTTATTACATGTTTCTCATTGTCCATAAGAAGAAAACATACCAGCTATAAAGGGGCCATGAAGGTGTTCCCGCCATTGAGATCTGAAAGAAAAATATTATGAACAGTTTTAGAACAGAAATAATTACCCTGTAGGCTGACTTCTGCAGTTTCACTGATAAGCATTATGGAGTCAATTTTCTCTTTTTTTTTTTTTTCTGAAAAGTTGTGGTTGTGTGCATTTTTTCCCTCTGGATGGGGTCCACGGTTTTAATTATATTTTCAAAACGGTGAAAAGCTCTCAAACTGTTAAGCATCATTTACATAGAAAATAATGCAGTAGGCAGCATTCTCCAGGCCATAAAAGCTGCAATAAATGTGGCAGCAGGCTTCCCAAAGCTTTCCATTTATATAGGTTTCTTAGCAAAGTTGAGGGTCTGACAATTTTATTTTTATTCCTTACTCTATTTACTCTCCCCCTTTGTTGTCTTTATTATCAGCATATGCTTCCTTCAAATGATGTCATTATCACGATGTTCATTTTAGTGTAGTTATTAAAAGCATGGGCCCAGGGGCCAGAAAGCCCACCTGTAAATTCTGCCTTCACCACTCCCTCACTGTGTGCTGTGGGATGGGTGGCTTCTTGTTTCTGTGTCTCATTTTTCTTGTCTGTAAAATGGGGCTAGTAATAGATAACAGGACAGCATTGTGATGAGATTTACGTGAAATGGAAAGCACATATGTCCACGTCAGTCATGTCGCACATGCTCAGGAAGTTGAGTCCTTTCTTGATGTTGCCTTCACAGTCATTGTTATCATGGACTTTCCTTTCGACGTGCCAGAAGACATCTCACACATCAGGTTACTTAAAATGTGGGGCATTCTAATATTTTTATTCAAATATTTATAGCCATCAAATAGAGAAGTTTACAATCATCCTCACCTCCACATAACTGATCTTGATTTAGGACTGTGCACATTTAGCTTTCACAGTCAGTGTGTATGCGTCTATCCCAGAGTGGGGGACACCATTGTGTACAATGAGGAAAACACAGGTGCCTCAATTCATCTGTCCACTCAATGTGTCCCTGCCCAGCAAGAGGCCACGTGAGTCTCAGAGCCCCTCTGTTGATCCCTTTCTTTGAGACTCTTTTCATTCTTGTCCTTAGAGACAAGATGCTCTGCATGTGTGTGTGTGTGTGTGTGTGTGTGTGTGTGTGTGTGTGTGTGTAGTTGTTTAACTGTTTTACAACTTGGTACTTTAAACTCAAGATCTTCGACTGGGGCTCAGCAGAAACAGCAGTAATCTGTTGCAATGCTGAAGGAAAAGCCAGCTGTGCCAAATATATTGCAATACAGAACTTTACCATCTTTAAGGGAGGTTTTGGTTTAAAGAGACTTTTTAGGAATAATTTGATGCTAGGTGCATTCTGCTTCCATGTAGACGTTAGAGATTGAGCCCTTTTTATATGAGGCTTCACTGAACACTCAAACTGAAGTCAGAGATTCCCTTAGGGGAATGGCAATGGCTGAGTTTTAGGTAAGATGCAACTCTGTATGACTGAGTAGTTTAGCCAGTTCTACATCTGCCCATCCTCACCCCAAACACACCTTATTCCCAGAGAGATTGGAAACATAATCACCAAAGTCAGATGAAAATATGCCTTCAATCTGCAGCTCTGGAGAGTCATTCCATTCCACAGTCTCTCTGTGAAAAAAAATGTCAGAGTAAAAAACATTCTGAATTTTGTTAATTTCTTTCTCTCAAAATTATGGTTCTAATTCTCCTTGCCAATCTATCTGCACACAAACATGCAAACATACACACACACACACACACAAACACGTGTGTGTATGTTTATATAATACATACAATTTCTATTACTCCTGGCAGTTATATTCCAATGAATTAACACATACTGAAGCATTGCTCCTAGGGAAACTGCAGAGATAGGTTTCTCTTAGTCTTTGTTTGCAAAGTTTTCATCAACTGATCAATATATAATTTATTTTATGTGTACTTCTGTATAAAGATACTCTATTTAATATAGATTATTGATTCATTAACATTGAATTCACAGCTGACAACACTGCATAGCTCATGCCTGAGCAAAGTTTATCTAACACAAACAGCAAAGTTAGTCTCAAAATGAACAAAAATAGGAAAAGCATGGAACTGAGCAGACCACAGAAGGACCCTTGCTTACAGAGCTGGACAGGAAGTGAGGGCACTGCCTTTTTTGACCTCAGTTTGGATGATTCACATTTTTTTGCTGCTCTGCCCATGTACAAAAATGACTTCAGATGTTCCACAGGTATTGATTTGGGGGTTAAAAATAAGGGTTAGTAAGGAGCCAAATTTGCAAATACGGAATGTCAATAATGAAAATTGACTTTGTATGTGTGCATGTGTGTGTGTGTGTGTACATGCATATATAGGAGTGACAAGTGGCTGGCCCAATTCAAATTTATATTGATTAGATAGTAGCTACTTATAGCCTTTGCATGGTCCCATAAGATGCATTCTTTTTGTAGCTGAGGAAATTTAACTGTTTTCTACCATAAAAATTGTTGTAGTCATCTGCAATAAGGAAGTAGAATAATGTAATAAGGATTGTCCGAGTCCTTGAAAGAGACAGCTCTTATTAGTTTTGTCTTAGGCTTTGGGGTAGGAGAGTGTGTAGGACAGATTCTATTGAGGATTTTCATGGAAAACTCAGCTAGGGAAAGGAACAGGTTTCATTATTTTTTCAAATTAATGAGCCAGGTTCTTTCATTTCTGTCTTTGAGGTACAGGAAGGAATTCAGAGTGGTGTTACTGAGTGGATTCCGGATATCCGGCAAAATTGGAGAAGTTCTAATTTATGGAGAAGTTATAAATTATGTTCATCCATATGAAAAGTATGAACTGAATGGAAGGACTACTGGTGTAACCTCTTTTGTCACTGGAAAGTTATTGACTAGATATTTCAGTCTTTACAAAAGAATTCCAGAAAGATGGATGTCTTCATTATCTCGTCTGTAGTTGGTCAATTTTTATAAAATCCAAACTTTTCTTCTTCCCTTTTTCTCTTGTTGATAAGGATTGGACTTTCTATGGTTTATCCTTCCCTCTCTTAAGGTAGATGCTTCTTTTTTAAAAACCTAAGACTTGAGACTTCACAGGCCTCCATGGACTGTTTTTCCATATGCCCCATGTAATGGGAGCTGTCTAGGTACAGGAATGTCCTTTCACAGTGGTTCCTATGGTGCTGCTTTCCTCTCCCAGCTTCAGAAAAGGACACCTGGCACCTCTGAGTTCCTCACTGGTGGTGGCAGCAGGGCTTTGACATCCCCAGTTCTTATATCCTTACATAATCCATTGAGTGTAAGAAATAGTCTTCTGGTAGCTCCTGCACACATTCTGAAGGCCACTCTTTCTTGCATTGTCCCATACTCAGTGATAAACTGTGTTGCAGGGTCCTCAAAACTACCCCCAGATTCACTTATTCTCTATAAGAACTCAAGGGATTCAGCACACAGGCTTACCTGCAGCTGTGAATTATCATAACAAAAGATGTAAAGCAAAATCAGCAAAGAGAACAGGCTCACAGAGCAAAGTCTATAGATCGCTGGCACAAGCTTCCAGGAATCCCCTCCCACTGCAGTCGTCCAAGGGTGGGTGCCAGCTTTTGCATCCTATGGTAACAGCATTGTGAAATGTAGACCAGGGAAGCTCATTAGAAAAGCAGCACCCGAGGTCTTTGCTGAGGTCTGGTTGCCTAGGTACTTTCTGCCTATCATGTACCCAAATCCGAAACTCTAAGGAAGGAAGCAAGTGTTCAGCATAGACTGTTCTTTGTGCGAAGAGTTTTATCACAGTGTACCATTCTTCTTAGTTAGTGAATGCTGGAAACTCTCACAAAATCCAAGTTTCCAGAGAGCAGTCAAAGGACAACCTTATAAGCAGATCTTTCTAAGGACAGCAGTCTCAGGCCTCCTACATCCTTTTCTGCACACATAACCACCCTTGACCTAATCAAAGATTAAGTCCAAAGGGCGATACAGAGAATGTTAATTTCCTTAAGCAAATCAGGATTACTAAGATGTTTCCTTGTGTTTTGGATTTTGGCTCGACAAATCCCATTTAAGATTGTGCAGAAGAGACCCCCTGCCCTCCTTGTTGACCTGTTAACAACAAAAGGCTGAAAACAGAGCACAGGCTAACATACCGTTGCCATGACTACCTGTGTGACAAACATCTTAATGGCATTTCGCTGAGATGCTTCAGGTATTGGGCTTTGGAAAAGGGGTGGCTAAATAGAACTAAAGACCTTGTGGCACTCAGCGCCCAGTGGTGCACGAAATATCCAGTTAATGCCCTCAGTGATAGCCATTCGTTTTTTACCAAGGGTAGTAGAAGACGAAATGGGTTCATGCTACCATGAGTTGGTTTGGATACTCACAGAAAGAATGGTCCCTTCAGGCATTATTCAACTTCCACAGCTCCTGCTCACTCTCAGCCACTGTGCTGTGTCTCTGCCACCATGACACGGAACAGCTTTCACCAAGTGAGTGAAGTCCATTACTAAATTCGATGGTTGCTTCTGACTGGTTAGTTCCCTCGAGGCCTCAGTAACATTTGACATTAATACTGATGCCCTTTGTAAAGCTCTCTATGGCTGTGTTCTCACTCTTTGATCACAGGATCTGTTTATCCTTACATTGTTGAAAACCACCCCACCAAAAAAACCATTTTGCTTATAAACATTGATATTTATTAGAAATTAAAATGGAGAAATTTCATGATGTTGTTTCTCCAGTTTGTTGCAATATCACCTTTCCGGTAGCCTCCGGAAATCTCCATTCTGCATTCATGTGCTCATGAGAATGAAATCAACAAATAACACCTTAGTATCCATATAGAGATATTTTGGCTTGTGTGGACCTCCTACAAGGGTCATGGGAGCCCCGAGAGTTTGTGGACCTCACTTTGAGAATCACTGTTCTACATAATTCCTGTGGCTGTTTTTAACACCATGGGCTTCTGTCTTCCTCCTACCTTCCTGGCTCCTGCTTCTTGTTAGGTTTCCAAGGGAAGGTGAGGGTTAAAGACACACATAGAGCGAGAGGGCGGCTCAACAGCAAATGCAGGTATTTATGTCCAGGTAAACCTGCCGAGGTGGAGGACCAGCTTAATGCCAGTGCCCACCACTGCTTACAGGCTGGGATACTTGTAGGTATGGCAGGGAGGGGTCTGGGCAGTATGGCGTGCTGCCAGGGAAGATGTTGAGAAGACGTTCCCACAATGAGGCAGTTGGGGCCTTGTTCCCACAGAATGTAATAATGATGTTCCTTGGACTTTTTCTCAGCAGAATGTGTTAAAGTCAGGCGGTTGGGCAGGCAGGTTCTCATGGCCCGAACCCTCGTGGAATGTTTCACTTTGACCAAGGTCTGCATATTGGCAGGGAGCTTACAAAATGGTGCATTTTGGATTAACAGGTCTCAGTCTTGGGCTCCTCGTTGTCTGACAGATCCTAAATCTTGGCCCCTGCTGTTCCAGGTTCTCTTCTCATCATGCATGTTCTCTGGGTAATTTCATTCACTCCTAAGGCTTAAAACATCATCTCTCTGCTGAAGGCTTCTAAATCTCTTTCCCTAGCTCGGAGCCCTTTTCTGAGATTCAGATCCATGTGTAGTTTGATCTGGTGGGCACTGGTACTTTTGTATTCCACAGGTATCTTTGGCAACTATCTACTTCTTTCTATCTTCAGGGCTATTCTTTCAGGGTCATTCTAGCAGTCCCTAGCAGAGTTTACTGTCCTTGTCCCCGCCTGCTTTTGGTCCATTCTCCATCATTGTAGAGAGATATATTTAATCAAATCTTCTCATTCATGATTAGGTCATGTCAGTGCCTTTCCATTAGTCTTTGGATAAAGGCTAAGCATTTTAAAATGCTTAATGGCTTTTTGTGATATGACTCTTACCTAAAACTCTCCAGCTTGTGTTTTGCAGTTTGTCCCTTCTCTTGAACTTCATCTTTCAGTCACACTGAACTTTCAGGCTCTCCTAATGGCTATGTGTTCTCATCCTCTGGGCATTTACCTCTGCTGTTCCAGGAAATGGTCTTCAACATCTTCAGATACCTAGAAGGTTTGCCCCTCAGTGGGAAGAAAGCTTCCAACTCCCAGCGGTTCCAGCAGAAGTCCTGGGGCTGGAGAGCTGTTCCTGAGTTGCCTGTGATCACATACCACACCTGATGGCATCACTGTATCCAGGCTCCAGGTGCATAGAATGTTGTGAGGTCATGACTGCCAGCATTATGACCAGTCTTGGAACTAGGATTGGGGTGGGGTTCATCCCACCCAGACCACAGAGACTGAAAATAAGAAAGGGGTGAGGCCTAAGGGACAATCAGGATGTTTTTCAGAGAGAAGTGTGGATGCTGGACAGGAAGAACCACAGATACCAGATACGGGTACTGTTGTAACTCTGTTCTCCATGAAAAGTAATTTGCTTTTGCTTGATACTAATCTTTTTGCCCTCATACTCTTGTGCGTGGAGTTTATCTATCCACCTCCAACAGACACTCACACACCTCCCAGTCATTTCTTATCCTTCAAAACCAGCTCAGACATGTGCTTTTCCAGAGAAAAGATTGACGTTCTTCCCTCCCAGGCTGACTTTCCATATGCAAAGTACACATGTAGACACTGCAATGCATTACACACAGCATTTGATTTGTGGGTCTGTCTTCTCCACCACATGAGCTGACCAGAAATCATGCCATCTACATTTCCACATCCTCAACAAGTAGTTAAGACCTGGCACAGAGGAAGTAGTGCTTGATTAGGTTTGGGGAATAAGGGATATAGTTTTTTTGTTGTTTGTTTGTTTTTCGAGATGGTGTTTCACTCTTGTTTCCCAGGCTGGAGTGCAATGGCGCGATTTCGGCTCACCGCAACCTCCTGGGTTCAAGCGATTCTCCCAGTTTCCTCCAAGGCTCTTGTGTAAACTGTTCTTATTGAGACTTTGGGTTGGAGATTTCTAAGGCTTGTGGGATAATAAATCTTCTATTTTTTTTCTTGAGTTCCTCTTTATAGGTTTTATTCCACAGACATTTCCTGAAACTTTACTAATTAAAACAATGATGAGGCCTGCTTTGGGTACTTAACAGGACTGTCTACTAGGGGACACAAGAGAAGGACATGACAGAGCCTGTGACTTTTACCAGCCATCAGTTCAAAGGGAAACTTGCAAACAGCCTGCAGCTGGTTGAAGGATCAGGAAGGAAATAGTTCATCTGAGCACAGCCTCTGGAGCCTGAGTTCAAATCCTAACTCACCCCTTGTTAGTTTTGTGCCAGTGGGCAAACTTCTTAACCTCATATGACTCAGTAGATGCAAAGTACTTAACTCATGCTTGATGTATAGTTAGCAATTAATAGTTAAGATTAATTTAATTACCTATTTGTGATTATTTCAAACTCATTTATCTCTTCTTTTTCTAAACTCTGACAATAGTTAAAACTGTATAAAGCAATTTTAGCAGTGCATAATGCATTTTCATTTATGCATCAGTATTTATTGTGAGCATATGTCTTCTCTTCCCAACTATATTATTTGTTTCCAGGGATAATACTGTGTCTTCCACTGTGGATATGTGTTGGCTGTGTCATACGTGTAACAGCGGCCTTTACATAATTAGCTCTGATAGAAATGATACTTACATCTGTTTTTTTCTGTAACATAAGTTAAACATAATATAACAGTAATATAATACCATGAAAAAGACGGCAGGAGTGACAGTTAAGCTCCTGAGCTGACACTGTTTCAACTCTTAAGAAGCACCCATTAATACATCAACAAGTGTTATGGCCATTTTTAAACAGTCTTAATTTCCTTAAGGTAGTTGCGTTAATCTTCTGGTACTGCCATAAAATACCATAGGCTGGGTGGCTTAAATTTTATTTTCTCACTATTCTGGAGACTGGAAGCCCAAGAGCAAAGTGCCTGCTGATTAGTTCCAGGGCTTTCTTCCCAGCTTGCAGACAACCACCTTCTCACAGTGTCTTCACGTGGCAGAGAGAAATAGCGAGCGTTCTGCTATCTCTCCTTATAAGGATCCTATCAGACTACCACCTACTTTAACCTTAATTACTTCATTACTCCAAACTCAGCCAGATTGGATGTTAGGGCTTCAACATACGAATTTTGGGGGACACAGTTCAGTCCATAGCAGAGGTCTTTCCACAAGAAAAAAGCAACATGATTGTTCTATCTCTCTAGTTTTTGTAAATCAGTCCATACAAGAAACTGGCTTCCCCAAGTTATCCTGGATGACTTGTATTTTACCTTTTTAACAAACAAATTAAATTACCATATTGATGAGGAGTCAATGCCTAGATCGGGGCTATAAACTCACCCTGGGTCCTGGTATTCAAATGTATCATGGGGATTCTGTCTCCATCTCCAGTGCTGCTTTCCCCAATGTCGGCCTTGTTCTCACACAGTTCCCTGAAGGGGTGACAGGAAGGCCAGGCAGGGGACACAAATGAGGCAAGCAGTCTGGGCATGGGCAGCAGGGAATGGTGGGGACTGCAGCGAACCTTAGGACAGAGGCCCCATGTAAAGGGCTCAGCAGCCACTGAGGGCCATCTGACTAGTGCCAGGAAAAATGTATGTCCCACTTTCCAGATCTTTTTATATTTTCAAAGAAAAGCTAGAGAGCTGGATTTTTTAAAGATTGACAACTAATTAGATGTTAAAAATTGTGTTAGATTAGAAGAAAAATGTCATCTAGCATGGGATCTATTTTGGATCTCTAGCCTAAGCTTTTGGAGGAAATTGGTAAAACTGCCAAGATCACATTGGTCGGGGGTTAACTTATGTCTGATTTTTTCATTGCTACTGAGCTTATTACTGAGGACCCAGTGTCATAAAGTATTTCTATTAGATCATTCATGGCACTGGGTTCAGACAGTCTAATCTTACAATGCTAAAAAAAAAAGAGTCAATTCCAACAGTAACTTTTTTCTCCAGAATAATTGCTTAAATATCTGGTACACTCTGAGGGCACTCTTGGTTTCTCTTTTTTAACAAGATTACTGAGTTGAATAAGTCAGATTATGTTATTATTTCACTATTTTGTTTGGGTTTGGGAATGAACAATTGTTAATTTTTTTCTGCTTAGCATTCCTTTGCCCTTCCTGTCCTAACAGTATCTAAGAATGCTATGGAAAAACACCACCTGTCCCCTACCTTCCAGCTTTGTACTTCAGAAAAACTGACCCTTTTTTAGGCCTCGGTAGGGGGCCTCCTGGCATAGGCTGGGCTACTCAATATAGTCTCCCCCTAGGCCACAGTGATAGGGTTAGTGACGACACATGACCCACTAGAGACAATGACATGCTGCATGGCTTATTCCTTCTTCTACTGTGACTTGTGGAAAAGGAACCCTAACCAGTTCTTGATGGACTGAACAACATTTAGGAGATGGTGTTCTTGTCACCTTGTGGAGCTTAAGCAAAAAGCCACACCATGGAAAGCAGGACTGAGAAATGAATGAAAAAGCATGTTGGTGCCATTGGTTGCACCTGAATCCATCTGAGCCTGAAGCCAGTCTACTCCTAGTGACTGCATGTTTTATAGAATTCTTTTAAAAGAATCCTTACTGATATACATAATGGCCAAAGAAGAGGAAGATCAGTCTCAATTAGTGAGAAGTCCAAAGCAAATGGACTCTGTGGATGGTCCCATCAAAATGAAGTCAAAGGTTAAGGGCACATTTAAGTTGTCTCATGGTGTGTTTTTGGTGGGTGGATAGACTATAAAATCCCACTTAGCACAGAGAAAACAAACTGAACCTCAGAGGACTTACGTGGTTTCTCTCAGTACCTACAGTGGGCTCATGCAGGCCTGGGGCTCCAGCTCAGGTGTCTCAGCTTCTCAGGGCATCAGCTGCCTCCTATTCAGGTAGTGACAGAGCTACTAGGATTGCTCAGTGAACATCCATATACCAGCTCCTAGATTCAACAGTTAATATTTTACAATGTTTGCTCATCACGTATCTATCCATCTGGTCCACTGTCCACCCTTTAATCCATCTTATTTCATGTTTTAATTGGAGGTCATCTTACTTGATGCACAGATTTTTATTCATTTGGCAAATATGTAAGACCTCCCTCTAGGCACTTGGGATGAAACAGTGAGCTAAATACCAAAACGTTTCCTCTCAGGAGGCTGGACATTTTGGGGGGATTGATGATTGATAGAAGAGTAACAAAACGTATACATAGGACATTTTTAGGCGGCAATAAATGTTTTTAAGGAAACAGAATAGGATGAAATGACTGAATCTCTAAGACACATTCCAGCTAGGAAAACAAAAAACATTCTAGGTATTTTAACAGAGGGATTTAATACAGGGATTATTTACCCAGGTGTAGAAAAGCTAAAAAAAAGCTTAATATTTCTTGAGAAAAGAACGCAGAGGTTAAGAGTTGCAAGAAACTGTTACCACTCCTATGGTTGGAGGGACAGAGGGAAGAGGTGATACTGCTAGTGCGCAAGTACGGGGACTGTTTGGTGGAAGTTAGAACCATAGTCGTAGCTGTCCTGGATGATGTTGCTGGAGGATATGAGAAGACGGTAAGGGGAGCTCTCAAGGAGTTGGAACCACATAGGAGACAAAGCCATTAGCAGAAAATGCTGCAAGAAGCAGGAAGAAAAACACATACTCGAGTTCTTCCTTCTTCTTCTCCTCCAACCTTGCACCAGTGCCTCCAAATTGGCTGAACCTGCTGAAAGCCGGTGGGAGAGAGCCTGGGAAATGTATTTCGGAGGCATACACAACAGAGGAAGGTGTCTGGGGGCCCAGGACAAACCGGCAGTTGACAGCGTAGTGGCTTTTCAGAAACAAGTCTTGTCAGAAATGTGACTTTTTCTGGGGAAAATTGGACTAGAAGCGAGAACAAGAACTGTTTTCTGGGAATTCCCTCTATGGGAAAGTCATGGTGGTATCGACTGTAGATTGGCAGATGACAGAGGGCCTCTTTGAGGGGGTGCCAGATGGCTGAGGATGCCTGACCAGGGGCTGACATCTCTGCACACATCCTGGTGGAGAGGTTTCCAGGCTGAGCAAGGAGCCAGTAACAGCCATGAAGACAGCACAGAGGAAGCTGTGTCAAAAAATCAGAAACCGATATTTCAGACAAGCCTGGTTACAAAATTATGAGGAACCTTTGGCCCTTTCCTTCACCCTAAGCAGTGACATCAACACCATCACCCCGGATGAATATCAGTTTACTTACCGAGGCTCCTTCAAGCTCTTGGCAGGCAAGACCATGGACCCAAGAGGGTATGTAACTGTGTATTGTCAGCGACTCCACACGGCTACATTTCGGTATTTAATGAGGCATTGATCTTGCTGGAGATTTTTGAAAGTCTGGCCAGCTGGCCCATTGGAAGGAGACCTGAGCTTGGTTCTCTGTGCCTGAGTCGTTGGCTGTCTATGCTACAGGAACTGCCTCAGCTGTGGAAATGCCATGAATCCTTTTCCCCGTTGGCCATGCAGCAGGTAATTAGCTTTATAGAGATGTGGGGAGGATATGGCAGGCCTTCAGGTCTGCGGGTTGTATCAGGGGCCCTGTCACACTGCCGGAGTGTTTGCATTCAGGGCTTCCTCAATCCTGACAGAGGCACATTTCCAGGGATGATGTATGTGTTCCAAGCACAGCTACAAATGAGACAGTTAAGTCCGTGGAAGCGCTGTGGGCCGCAGTCTCCTGCCAGGGTTCCCAAGACCCTGGGAGTGGCTTCCTTCCAATGGGCCATTAGCTTTCCCCCGAAGCTCTTTGAGGCTTCTCTGGAGCCAGCTTCTCTTGGCACCGCCGGGCTGGAGGAAGCTTCTCCCATAGCGCTTGTCTGGCAAGCCTCACAGATTCACTCTGTCTTTCTCTGAACCTCTATGCTTGATTCTCTCTGTAGCTCATAACCAGGCCAGTAATGAGACACCCTGTTGAGCTGGGCCTCATTAAGACTTTCTTCTTCTCTCTTCCCAGGACATACTTTATTCAGCTGGGTGCTGAAAAAGAATCTTGGAAATTAGGAAACTGAATGAGGCCTCATTTCACACTCAGAATGTGGGTTGCAATAGTCACTTCCTCTGCTGCTGGGAAAGAAAGAATTATACTACCTTTTGAATTTTGGATTAAGGAGAGAGGTGTTGGCTTGTCAAACTACCATGTATTCCTCAAGACATATTTTTGTGGCTTTATAAAATTCAATATATATGTCTAAATTCAAAAATATTTTGTTGCAATCTGGCCCTTGGACAAACTGAGGCCCTAGCAACTGATGTTTATGGCTTTCCGTAGAACCTTTCAGATAAAATTTACACAGCATTTTACTGCAGCTATTTCACACAAAGCAGAGGATTTTGCCACAAAACTGAAAGAAAAAAGAAACTGCATTCTTAAATTTTTCATAAATCAAAAGGTATAAAAATATCTACCTAAACGATAAAGGAGATGAGAAACCCCACCCATGATGGGAAGAAAGCCTATTTCAGTTTTGCCTTTACTTCAAGTTCTTTTTTCCATATCTGGAATGCAATCAGAATTTTAATCTTGCCTTGGGTTCCTCCTGGATTTGGGGAGAAGACAAAACCTGAAAATCTCTAATCTGCATGTGTTCAGCTGCGTATCTTCTGGATACGGAAGGATCACACTGCACAGAGTGCTGGACTTGCAGGAGCCCCGCTTCTCAACCTCCATCGCTTTATGAATGAATTCACCAGAAAGGTAACTGGCCACTTTTACAAGGGGAAATAAACCAACTAAACGTGACATTGGATTTTTCCCAGATTCTTTATTAATGGTGCTTCTGCATCGCTTTACCTTTTCAAGTATAAGTTACAGCAGATAATTCTTCTGAGAATGATCTCCTAAGGCATGTCTTCCTCTTTGCATTTTTATCTGGACCCTGTCCCATCTATAGGGTCACATTTTTTATTAGAAATGTTGCTGAAGATCCCCTCAAAATAACAAATACGTGTGACATAATTATATATGCTTTATGTATTTTACATATACACGTGTACACTTGTGTAAGGAATTATTAGTTTTGGTTAAATAGTATTTTATATATGCTGCTTCATATAACACATTGCAAATGCTTCCCGTGAGATTATATTATCTTCAAGTCATGGTTCTGATGGAGATTTAATATCCTATTTATAGCATGTCTGAACCACATTTATTTAATCATTTTAATGATGGATATTCAGGTTGCTTTCAAAGGCTTCTTGCTGTCATAAATAATGGTTACCATGAACATCTTGGCACATATATCTCTTTCCAAAATGTTTGATTATTTCCATAGAATAAGTTATTAGATGATGAACTAGAAATATACACTTTAAAAAGTATATCCTGATTTCTTTATGCAGTCCCTTATTAATTACCATTTAATGCTAATTATTAATAAAGACAATAGCAAGGGGATATTTATGATTTAAACATGCCAGTAACTCTTCTAAGTGCTTTAGCATAGGAGTTCATATGATGCTTACAATCACCCAGCAAGGCTGAATCTATTATCATCCCGTGTCCTATGTGAGAAACCTTGAATCACAGGAAGACGAAGCAGCTTGCCCAGGATTGTTCCGCTTATAAATATCAGATTCCAATTCAGGAACATGGCTACAGCATATTTGCTGTTTATTTGGTTTGATGTTATAAGTGATACTGCAGTTAATATGCTTGAGTTTCAATCTTTAGGCACCCTCAGTAGCAGCTATGTGGCATGACTTTTAATTTTTATAGAATGGAAGATTCTAGAAGTGTAAATGTTCTCCCACAGCATTATTCACATTTTAGTGGAAATGATGGAGATATCTGAATGTCTCCTTAACAGGTTCCCCAAGTAGATGCAACATAAAGGGATGATGGAAATAAGCAAGAAGTTCTCAAGTATCAGCATGCCACATTCCACAGGCGGGATGTCAAAAATAGTTTTGGGTGATGGGCAGCTTACTGTGCATAAGGTTTGCAAACAAACGATATTGATTCCTGTTTTTCTTTCCTTTAAGAAAAGGAAGAATCAACACTTTCAGAGATGGAGCCTGTTGAGCCACAGTACCAACTAGTCAATGCTGAATCGACTTCTCCCTTTCTACATTGCCTGAGAGAAGTCATTGGGGAATACTCTGTACACGAATTTTCACTGTTGGGGAAAACAGGTATTGGAAGTGATGGGTAGACCTCAGTTTGTATGCATTGTGTTAATTACTATTTCTTTGCTTTTCCTTTTTTTGTGCGGTTGCAGAGAGTCAAGGGATTGGATTGTGGATTGCATTGGTGGTTTTCCTCAGTTTCCTCATCTTCTCCACAAGTTTCTACATATCGAATGCAGAGCAGCCCTTCTTCAAAGGACCTCCTACGGAAGCTGCTAAGGAACTCAGTCTGTAGCTCTGCGTGGAGCCATGTGTAAACACTGAACTGAGACCTGCCACCTCCTACTACCTAAGGGCCCATTTTCATCTGATATCATCCCCCAGAAACAAACTCATGATGACTTCCATGTTTTTTTTAGATTAGATACATGGAGAATTTTCCTTTCCCTTAGAATTAAAATCCTGCATTCTAATTTTCAGTAAGCTTTTTTATTTCTGAATAATTTTAAATTTAAAGAGAAGTTGCAAAGATAGTATAGAATGTTCCCTTATACCTGTTTTTATTTAGAGTGATGTTCCCAGGAGAAATGATAATGCAGCAATGGACAAGAACAGGAACAAGAGACAGTCTTACCATCTTCTTACAATTTATAGATGGGACAGTGGAAAGAGAAGCCACATCGGGGTTGGGCATGCAGAGACCTGGTCCTAAATCTGTGTGACTTTTGCGAAATCCTTTTGCCTCACAGAGCTCTAGGTTCTTATCTGTCAAACAGGAACCAGACCATCAGATCCGTAGAGATCCAACCAATGAAGGAGACTTCGAAAACTTCACATTGCCGTGTCAATGTGAGGTTGCTGGATGGTTATGACAAGAAATCACATTAAATTCACTGGGGTAACATTGTTCATGAAACGGGATAATGTGTTTCAGCGATGAACCACCCATGGCCTTACTACAGACATATTTCCACTTTGAAAATGTGTGTGAGTGTACATGTCTGTGTGTGAGGCAGAGATTAGAAAGTGTAAATGTGTGCGTTTTCATTTTACACATCTTACATTTTCCTTTAATTTGTTTGAAAGCCTGTTTTGTTTGTGGCTTCCATTCCTGGAAGTCCCATGAGTTGTTAGTGGTGAAGATGGAACAGATGTGTCCAACCCGGGGGACTCCTGCCCTCAGGGACTGAGCAGCTGCAAACCTCTCTCTCATCTGATTCCACTGTTTCTTCCACATGTACACATCATGAGAAATATTGTTCAATCAATATCTTCCCTTAAATCAACTCATATGCTTATTTACATGAATTTACCTAAAACAGAAACTTGATATCACTTCTGTAAATGAAAAAATTAAACTTTCTGGCTTTAAATAAAGCATAACAATAATAATCATGTCAAAATTACCTCTCCAGTGTTATGAAGTTCAAGTTAGGGGTGAAGATTCCTGAAGGCCCTGGTCCTAGGTCATAGTTGTTCCTGATTAAAGGGGAGACGGACAAGTGTTCAAAAGGGTCAAAGACATAGTCCCCTCAATTGAGACTTCCTTCTGAAATTAATCAGAAAGTTTAAAAGAGAGTTCTTCCTCATTTTGTTAATTACTTTCACATATTAATATATATTAACATTTTATATGGTAATATGTTTTTGACATTCCCCTCTAAAATGTTCTCATGGGCTGGCAGTGGTTTCTTATATTATGGGAGCCCTACTCTTTACTGAATTTTGTCCTTCTGTCATAGGGTAAAACTTTTTCGTCTCTACAGAACTCTCTCCAAGTGCACACCCATAGATTGGTTTGCTTGTGGAATCCTAGCATATCAGAAATGAAGGAATCTCAGAAATTGTTTTCATCAAACACCTCATATGCAGAAGGCAAAATGAAGGTTCAGAGCAGAAATGATTTGTCCAAGGATGCAACACTCATCTGCAGCAGAGGGAAGCTGAGCTCTGCAGACCCACCTAGCACTGCAGAGGCAGCCCTCTAGGACAAGGCTTCATAAAAAAGTGACTTTATGAGTTGGCTCCATAAAAAAGATACAGATTAAGAAATTGTTTAAACAGTGATCTCTATATAATTACTCTTTTATTTAAAAGTATGGGCTGGGAGCGGTGGCTGACGCCTGTAATCCCAGCACTTTGGGAGGCCGATGTGAGCAGATAACCTGAGGTCGGGAGTTAGAGACCAGCCTGACCAACATGGAGAAACTCCGTCTCTACTAAAAATACAAAATTAGCAGGGTGTGGTGGTGCATGCCTGTAATCCCAGCTACTCGGGAGGCTGAGGCAGGAGAACTGCTTGAACCCAGGAGGCAGAGGTTGTGGTGAGCCGAGATCGCGCCATTGCACTCCAGCCTGGGCAACAAGAGCGAAACTCTGTCTCAAAATAAATAAATAAATAAGTATTCCTTTCCCAGTCTTTTGCTGTGTGGAGCCAAGATTTTTATTTGCAGAAGTCTGCAGGGCTGGTGTGATCTCTTTCAGTCATAAACCATAACCTTCCTAACGGGCCATCTGCAATATCCAGTTGTGTTTTCTCGAATGTGGGGAAATGACTTAAAGACACTTCAGAATCAATTGGAGGAAGGGACCGTTCCAGAGCTTAATTTTCCGTTGTGTTTTAGAGTTCTGTTGTCCACACCTAATTTGTCAGAAATGGTTTTAGTCATGTTGTTTTGTAGAATCTTTCCACAGCATTTATGCTCCTTTTCATAGAAGCGGCTCAATCTGCTCACGGATTTATATAGTATAGATTAAAGGAGGGCAGTGTAATAATGCCATAACAGAGGCTGGTACTAAGCTTAAAGCACCCCTGATGGGAGCAGAAATGCCCTGGCAGCTGGAGAGAGAGCCAGCACCTAGAGCGAGCGCCCCCTGCTGGCCATGGAGGGGAATGGAGGGTGTGGGATCCCCTGCAAGCAGGTTAAGTGGAGGTTGTTTCAAAAGCTTCTTCTCTAATCTTTCTGGATACTACAGATGATTTACATGAAACTCAGTGTGATGCTTTAATAGACCAATGAGATCAAGTTAACAAATAGATCCTAGAAATTATACTATTTTTAATGTTTGTGAAGTACCTGCTCAGCCAGGTGTTGATGGAGGACAGAGGATTAAGAGGAAGCCTTGAGTTACAGGGACCGAAGCAGCTGCTGTGTGGATTCAGATCTGGGCGATACCGCCCCAAGGCTCGTTCTTCCAGCATTTCTATCATTCTCTCTCTCTGTCTTATAGGCAAATGAGATGATGTTTCCGGGTCAATACATGACGGGATTAACTGGGATAGAGAAACGTGGTTTTAGGATGTGAGTCTCCAAAATTTCTATGGTTCAAATGTGGGATCTCACATGATGGTCTTGGGCAAAGAGAATATCATTGATTCTCAAGATTTAAACACAGGAGAGCCTCTCACTCCTCCCAAAGCTACGAAGGGGATGGAGATGGCCCAGGGACATTCGAATCGGAACTCAAGATCAGTATTGGAGACCCCACCCTGTGACATAGACATCATGGACAAGTTCCTTGAATGTTGGAGCTTTATTTTCCTATTTGATAAAATGAGAATTATAGCTTCTGTGGAGGGCACGGGGGTGGTCTCTGAGGATCACAGGAGATAATGCACATCGAAATGCTTTGAAAAGCATCAAGTACTGAAAAATGTCCAGCTTAGCTATTAGTAACAGTGACTGTGTTGGGAGTCTGGGCTTTCTCCTGTCCAGCTAGAAACACTTTTATTGTGCTATTTTTAGTGTTACACCTGCACATGCTTGTTTGAGCAGGTATTAATGGTATAAAGATGCCAGGCTCAGGCCCACAGTGGGCCAGTTGTTCTATAATTTGTTCTATAATAGCATAACTTGACAACAGCTAAATGCCATAAAATGAATTGAGGATGGGGTGTGGGGGTGAAGACACTGCCTAACTCCTCCCCACTGTTGGGGAATGATATCCAGCCTGTCACCCACTGATGGCAGGTTATGTAGGAGAAGCAGATCTATTAAAATAGAAGCACAGCTGCATGCCATGATTACTTCTCTAAAGTTATTGTCTAGCTCTGCACTTGATCCTCCTCTGATAATACTCAAGAAATAGAACACCAAAGTTTGCTTGTTTTAAATTTGGTAATTAACGTCTGTTTTGCTTACACTAATGGTTTCTCGCGGGAAGGATGCGTGCATTATTAAATGTTGCTTAAGGAAAAGAAAACGTTTTGTGTTGGTTAACAATTTTTGACTACAAATAATAGAAAACGATACCAAAGCTGGCTTAAGTAAAAAAGTAATTTAATGCTTTCTATAAATAATAAGCCAGGGGTAGCATGGCCAATTTATCCAGTAGTCTCAATAGACACCATGCCTGAGGCCCACTGTACTATTAAAGGGTTCATGAAAATATTTTAATTTTAATTTATTTTAAAATTAGAAGAAAAATCACTATAACAATATTTTAATAGAGTAGGAATCCACAAAGCAAAAGCTTCTGAAGCACCCAAAGTCATAACATAGCCCTGAGGTGTAGGCCTGCCTTCAGCCTTCATTTGCTATCAAGAACACACCAAACTCCTTTGACTTCCCCCTGCTCTCTCTTCTTTTTTATGCCATGCTGTTGACATTCAAAAATAGGCTTTTCCTTTGCCTCCTACCATCATTTACTCTGTTCACCCCACTCTAGCTCCCTACTCTCCTATTTCCCCATACTCCAAGGCTGTGTCTGCAGCAGGATCTCTGCCCTGGGTCTTCTCTCTGTCTGAAGTACGTTTCTTTCAGGTAACTTTCTCATTTTACTTGCTCCAGGAGTATTCTTGGCTTCTCAGAGAGACTTTCTTTTATATGTAAAAAGGATAATGAGGCCAGGCATGGTGGCTCACACCTGTAATCCCAGCACTTTGGGAGGCTGAGACGGGAGGATCACTTGAGGTCAGGAGTTTGAGACCAGCCTCGCCAACACAGTGAAACCCCGTCTCTACAAAAAAAATATATAAAAAATTAGCCAGGCATGGTGGTGGGCACCTGCAGTCCCAGCTACTCAGGAGGCTGAGGCAGGAGAATTGCTTGAACCCGGGAAGCGGAGGTTGTGGTGAGCCAAGATCATGCCACTGTACTCCAGCCTGGTGACAGAGTGAGACTCGGTCTCAAAAAAAAAAAAAAAAAAAAAAAAAAAAAGATAATGGATGAATCAGTGAAAGACAGATGCACCAGCCCAGACTTCAAAACCTCTGGATGTCAGCTTCCACGCAAAAGGGTGAGAATCTCATCTGTAGATGACCCAAGGGAGTCTCCCCAGCGCTCCTTAGCTCTCCCCAGTCAGTGCTCCTTAGCTCTCCCTGGCTCTCCCTTAGCTCTCCACGCCCAAGCCTGAGCCAGTCACTGTGGAGAGAGGCAGGAACACACTGCTTGGCTTAGCTGTTATTGTCTAAGTTTCCTCTGTTAGCAGAGGTTGGGTTCCACACGGGCAGAACTGAGAGTCGGAGAGGGATGGTTCTTCAGCGGGAAAGAAGATACAGTTACCAGAAAGGCAATCAGAGTGAATTTACCTGCAGAGCAAAGATAATGCCTGTTTCTTAATTTCCCACTCTAGAATTTTCTTTTGATTAGTTTTGTGCATCTATATTGCTTCACATCTTGATTCTGGTAGTTGTTCATATTTATCACAAATTAGACCATTGAACATTTTAATATTTTTTTCCTTAAAGTGAATTAGTAGCATTTGTTGTTTTTTCTTCAACTTTTATTTTACATTCTGGGGTACATGTGCAGGATGTGCAGGTTTGTTACATAGGTAAACGTGCGCCATGGTGGTTTGCTACACAGATAAACCCATCACCGAGGTATGAAGCCCAGAATCTATTAGCTATTCTTCCTGATCCTCTCTCTCCCCCGCCACCCTGCGACAGGCCCCAGTGTGTGTTGTTCCCCTCGATGTGTCTAGGTGTTCTCATCGTTCAGCTCCCACTTATAAGTGAGAACATGCAGTGCTTAGTTTTATGTTCCTGCATTAGTTTGCTGAGGATGATGGCTTTCAGCTCCACCAACGTTCCTGCAAAGGACAAGATCTCTTTCCTTTTTATGGCTGCATAGTATTCCATGGTGTATTTGTACCACGTTTTCTTTATCCAGCCTATCATTGATGGGCATTTGGTTTGATTCTTTGCGATTGTGAATAATGAGTAGCATCTATTTTAATTTTGAAAATTAAAACAGTTTTATAAGTAAAGGAGACTATACAGACACATAAAAAGAATAATGTTTTGACATGTTTTGGAGAGAATTAGTTTTAATGAAAATGAGAATGTGAGAAACCCCAGGAATTGATTTCACCTTGCAACTGAAGAGACTATGTTATCATAATAAGGAAGATTGTGTTGTCACAGCATTTTGTTGAGATCACTACTGGATTTTCTGAAGCACTTTGAGATAGAAGAATGTCTCCCCAGGGGTATCTGCAGAGTCTAAACTTATCAAAAGACTGACAGATGAAATATCCAGGGAGCTTGTACAAATCAATGAGCAGAAGATGAACCCCTCAGCATATATGTGTGAGAATGCTTACTGCAGTGTTGTATCTTGGAGATGTGTGCTTCAATGCAACCTGGGTACCCACCAATGGGAGAGTGGAGTGGTTAAAAAGTGTTATTGGAAAACTGTCCAGCATTGTGCCATACTTAGGAACAAAAGAGTGGATTTAAAAATAGAAACAGAGGTAGGTGTTTTTAAAAAGGTATTGTCCTGAATTAAGAAAGAGGCAGAATGAGTATATTATTTACCCCAAATAGCAATATATATTGTGACAGAACACATAAATATCTTCATGACCGTAACAAAATACATGTGAATTTTATGTAAGTGGCTGGCGATAAAGAAATGAAAATGGTAGTAGAATGTGGGGGTTATTGTTTGTTTGTTTGCTTAGACAGAGTTTCACTCTTGTTTCCCAGGCTGGAGTGCAGTGGCAAGATCTCGGCTCACTGCAACCTCCACCTCCCAGGTTCAAGCGATTCTCCTCCCTTAGCCTCCCGAGTAGCTGGGATTACAGGCACACACCACCACGCCCAGCTAATTTTTGTCTTTTTAGTAGAGTTGGGGTTACACCATGTTGGTCAGGCTGATCTTGAACTCCTGACCTCAGGTGATCCACCCGCCTCAGCCTCCCAAAGTGCTGGGATTACAGGAGTGAGCCACCACACCCAGCCTGGATGTGGGTTTGATAAGGAATAACTACTAGGCAAGCCACTTGAAATCATTAATATTTGATTGCTTTTTTATCTTACAAAAGTGGTAATTTTACATAGTTCAACATAATGAGTGAACAAAAAAGGATTCTTTCACAGACCAATAATAATAACATGCCCTGAAAGATAAATGAGGTGAGGTTGACCCTTTGCACCTGTGTTGCAATAAACAAAACTAAACTGCAGATTCTTCTGTAAAAAAATATGCTTCCCAGACGTGGTTTCATCTTGCAATTCGATTCCGCTGAATAAATGGACTTGGTTTCATTTTGCAATTTTATTCCACTGCTTCTAAATGTTGTTATAGAATGATCCAAGTAACAGAAGGTCCTGCCCGCTAACAGAGAGAGCCACCCTGTCTGGAAAATGCCATCTGAAAAAAAATGACTAAGTTATTTTCTCTTGGTGACTTCAAACCCACCAAGTTGAATACAGAAAGGTAGAGATGGTTATAAGAATAATGCTCTATTCCAGCAATTGATTGATTGCAGTGGCATTTATTCATTTTGCTTTTTAAGAGAAAAGCAGTTTTCTTCTGCTTTTATTAGTGTGCTTACAGATGTGGAAGGGAACCAAAGGAAGACAAATGAAGCATGAAGCTTTCTGTTGCTCCATGGATCTGTCTCTCTTCAGTGTCTCCTCACCGCCATCTAAGCAGTCATAGGGACCTCTCATTTCATAGAGGTCTTGAAACAGGACAAAAGTGCCTAGATAAGTCATGTGGGGTATGTGTCCTATCTGTTAAGGAACAGTGATTAGGAAGCGGGAAGACATAGAAGAAAGGATACAGGGACATAGTAGGAGCCCCTGGTCTGAGTCCTTATATGTAAGTAGCTTTACGCATGTGATTTTGGCAACTTTCTTCCCATTTAGACCTTAGTTTTATTGTGTAAAAATTAGTTGGTTGGAGTGAATGAAACCCCAAATCTATACTATGCTAAAGCTTTCTGTGTTTATTTCACAAGTTAAGGAGGGTTTTGTCTTGTTTTGTTTTAGTTTTTTGTTTTATTTTTTGAAGAGCGTGGGTCTCGCTTTGTCTCTCAGGCAGGAGTGCAGTGGTGTGATCATAGCTCACTGCAGCCTCAAACTCCTGGGTTCAAGTGATCCTTACATCTCAGCCTCACAAGAAAATGGGATTACAGGTGCATACCATCATGCCCAGTCAATTTTTTTTTTTTTGTAGAGATGGGGTCACATTATGTTACCCAGGATGGTCTTGAACTCCTGGCCTCAAGTGATTCTTCCCGCCTCAGCCTCCCAAAATGTTTGTATTACAGGCATGAGCCACGCACTCAGATCTTTTCTATGTCTGTAAGTATAATGAATGCAAAGAAGATCATTGAAGAGAAGTGACTGATGGATCATAGCTTGAGAGGCTCCTAACCACTCCCTGGATCCAACTGCCTTTACACGGCCCAAGGTCCCATCTCTCAATTACTGGAGCCAGTGGCAGCCTCCCAGATTGTATTTCTTCATCTGTGAAATGGGATTTTCAACCATATTTATCTCATGTGTTTTCACTTGGTACAGTGTCTGATATTCTATAAACTCCCAAAACAATAGCTATGTTCATGTTGAAAATATTTTCCCTCCAGTAAACATAGTTTAAAATCGCATTCCTTTAGCCACTGTTAAGTTGAGGCATCTTCTACAAACATTCTGTTTTCCATTTACATTTTGACTTTAGTAAATTGTCTCTTTATATTCATTACACATTTTTTTCCTATTTGGTTGTTTAGTTTTTCGTATGATTTAGTATATTACGATGTTAAGCTTTGTTTTTCCTAGTGCATGTGTAAAAGACTAACATGGACTGCAAGTGATGTGTAAAGATTATCATCAAGAAGTGCAGTGTAATTTTCTATCCTTGTGATGTAAGCTTGCCTCAAGGTGTGCTTTGGCCAATGGAATATGGCAGAAGAGTCATTGGACCACTTCTGGGCGTAGGCTTCAAGAACCCTTGCCACTTCAGTTTGTTCCCTGTTAGAATGTCTAAACCCTGAGGAGGTGGGGGAAGAGGCGGGGGAAACCCTGTATTTACGCTCTAGAGGTTGAGAAGCCACATGGAGAGAGAGACCTGGCCAGCATCAACTTCACAACAGAGCTACCGGATGACTACAACCATATGAGTGACCCAAGCTAATCCAGGTAGAAGAACCAGTATGCCAAGCACAGCTCAAAGTGTAACTCCAGATTCAGAGCAAATAAAATGGCTATCACAGCCACTATGTTTTTGGGTATCGGATATGCAGCAATAGATGACTGATCACACACACACACAAACACACACACACAAACTTGAAATCCTTCTGTGCGTACACATTGAGCATTATCACAGGACGGGGAGATTATTACTGAGATTTTGGGGGACAAAAATTTTAACCTCTATTTTGTATATTTTCTTATTGCTTGAGTTTTTACAATAAGCAAGCATAACTTTTTACACAGAAAACAGTTTTTTTTTTTTTTTTTTTTTAAAGATAATAGTCTGGCTCTGTCAATTGGTAACATGTCTTCTTCAGGACAGTGATTTTTGTTACTCTGATATTTTTTTTAATCTCAAAATGTTATCTATGCTATGAGCTTCCAAAATCTGATTTGAGGGTTTTTGAAATACAAGAATTTACATTTGATTATCTGCATTTTGGCTGGATCCTTCTTGACTTGAGCAGAGGATGTCATGGTCTAGTTTTAATACATGTAAAAGGGAAATTTTAAGAATGAAAAGCTCAGTGATTAATTTAGGAAAATGTTCCACCTTATGTACAATATATTATAATTGATGAAAGGGATTATACTGTCAACACAGTTTTGAGCTTGCTGTTTTCACTTCAAAATATTTTTAGACATCTTTCCATGTTGACACAAACATTCTACCACATCAATTCTATATAGATTCTATAATCTATATAATGTAGCATTGTATAACCGTGCCACAACCTATCAACCAGTTTCTTGTTGATGCACATTAGGGTTTGCAGGTAGTATTTCTGAAAGCAAACAATGCTTCAGTGAACATCATTGCACACATATTTTGCATTTTTGCAATAGGTCCTTAAGGTCCTTCTGCCAGGGCAGAAGTTGAATGTCTATATTGCCATATTGTTTTTAGGTTTTTCTCCGATGGACAGGACCTGTGTTTCTCAGTCCCCTGTGAAATTTGGTAGGGGTTGCAGGAGACAAATGTGTAAAGGGAATACAGAATGCAACCAGAGACCCATGAATACCAGGTGTGCTGGTTATTCTCTGTTTCCACCCCATCCACTTGTAACTCCTGTTCACCACACCTTGTGCCCAGGAACTGACTCCTCCAGACCTCATCACCCAGCTCCTCTACCAGCCGTGATAAAGGACTGTGGTCAGTGTTGGTCAGTGGGAGGCACCAACAGGGGTTTGGAAGGTAGAAAGAAAAAGACTGGAGGGTTTCTTTCCACTTGTTTTCTGCTTTGGCAACATGGTTCTGGCAACGGCGGCATCCATTCAGAGCCACAGCCCCTCTCACATAGCCCCTCTGCCATGGAAGTAGCTTTCGAGGGGCTCCAGCAACACTATATCCTCCTCTTGGTCCTTCAGATCCAAGGATGATAACAGCTTTCTGATGATACCAGTTTCTGGGTTCCTCAACACCCTTCTTACTCTTCTTAACCCTGTAAATATTCCCTTCAAACCCACGAATACTTTCTTTATGAAATTTTATCCCATAAACCCATTTGAGAGGAATCTTATTTCCTGCTAGGGCCACTATTGATTCACCCTTCTTGAGTGCTTGAATTTAATTCTGTGGGCAATAGGCACAAATAAGGAAAGCCTGGATTTGGTCATCACTACTTTGCCCTACCTCCCTGCGGTAGCCATTGGGAGAATGGATAGAGCAACTCCTACAATATCACATATACTGAGGCTTTGGAACATTTTAAATTATGTTGGATCTGGAAGAACATGAGTATTCCTTCAGTGGCAGTTCATGAATAGGTCAGGGTCTTTTAGTAGAAAGGCCTTTTATTCATTTAATACTTCAGTACAGTTGCTTCGAGGAATTTCTATGAACATTCAATGTGCAATATTGTTGAAAGGTTGTTAAGGGAGTTTAATTCATTGAGATTTATTTAAGTTGCAACAGAACCTGGCATCCCATATCCTCCTGAATTATATTACCTTCTCTACTACAAATTTCTCACTGGGTTGAGCAGCAGCAAATGGCCAACCTTTAGCTCCAATTTTTAAAGCAGAAATAGTTGGAAAATGGACCCTGAGACTATGTTGGTTTGATTTAGCAAACACATAGAACTGGGTAGAAGAGAATGAGATTTGTTGTTAGTAATTTAGCCATTTCAGGGAATCGTTGTGAGATGTCAACTTCCTAGAAGGATTAAGTGTTCCAGGAAATAAGTACTAAACTTCAGGAAAATAGACTAACCTCGATTTTGAAGGTAATTTGCACTTTTCTACTGCACATTTTGCTTATTCCTTGAAGTATAGTTAAATATAGGTTGAAATTATAAGGCAAATCAAAAGGCTGGTGTACAGAGAAACATGGAGACTCTGCCTCATTAAGAATGCTGGGCTGTCATTTGGTAGTATTAATTTCCAATTGCTGCTATAACAAATTATCAAAATTTTAGTGGCTTAAAACACTAGAAATGCATTATCTTACAATTCTGGAGGTCAGGGGCTTACATTAGATTTTGATAAACTGAAGTCTAGGTGTTGGCTGCATTCCTAATGGACGCTTCAGGGAAGAATGCTTTCTTTATCCAGTTTCCAGAAGCTGCCCATGTGCTCTGTTCTGTGACTCCTTTCTCCATCATCAAAGGCAGCAGCATGGCATCTCAATTTCCCTCTGACTTTCATCCCCCTGTCTCACTCTTTCACTTATAAGAACCTTTATGATTATATGGAGCCTGCTAGATTATCCAGAATCTTCTCCCCAGCTCAAGATCCTTAATGTAATCATGCCTGTAAAGTTACTTTTGATACGGAAGGCAACATATTTACAGGTTCTGTGGATTTGAACACGGACCTCTTTAGGGACCCATTATTCTATGTATCGCATGTAGCATATAACATTTTCCATTGCAAACAACAGAGCTTCAGATTATCCTAGGAAGGGATGTATTGACTCATGAATTGGAAAGTGCTTCAGTGAGTGAATCTGGAGATACCTGTATGTGGATTTTTATATCTATACTCTATCTGTATCTCTATCCTTCTATCTTGAAATACTAACTGATCAGAATCAATTTGTTTATCATTCCACGCTTTCTACATTGCATTCAACTCATATGTTTTCAGTGTTCACTACATCTTAGGCTCTTGTGAATTAGATATGGTCATTTCCTGAGATACTCACAGCCTAATGGGGAAATGAATCCATCTGTTTTGTGACACACATAAGCAAAGGGAGCATGACAGGGGAGGACTACCTGCAGCAGATGGGACATTATTTACAGCAGCTTGCTCTTACGTCCTCCCAAGGTTCTTGATGGACATGTCACTTATAGCACTTGCCACATTCTGTTTCAATAATGAGCTTGTTTCTCCAGCTTTTCTGTGAGTTCTACAAAGATGGAGAGAGTCAGGCATCTGCTTCTTTGCATTCATAATTCCCAGCACAGTGCCTGGCATGCAGTTAGTACCATACATTATTTATCCAATGCAGGTTATCTCATGGGGCTAAGTAGTTGTTGCAGCTGTCCCTGCAGGCAATAGGCTGGGACATGCATGAGTGATGGGAGCCGGAAGGGACTGAAGGCCTCTGCCCCATCCAGAGGGAGGATCAGGGCCTCAGCACAAGGCAATCCTTGCCATGTTGGAATGTGTGCTCAGTGCAGTTGGATCTTCCTGTAATCTCAGAATATTGGAAAAGTTTTCATGTTGTGTGAAATCTAGGTTTGTTTTCTGTTGGTAACTAATATTCGTGCTTTAAGATACAGATAAGGCTGGGAAAAAAAAAAAAAAACAAAAAAATGCAGCCCGCTCTCTTCCAGTATTTGATCTTTGATTAAAAGCTTGTGGCCATTTTTCGCCTTCTAGGATGGTAAGGGGGAAGGGGCAGGGGGTGGAGGGGAGCTGCTGGAGAGGTCTGGATAAAAACGTGACTTAGAGGGATAAATGAGCCTGCAAGGGTTGGATGTCCATGCCTTCTCTGACATGGAAACCTCATGCTGAAAAATGCAAACATTAGCACCTTATGGCACAGCTGTTCCCAAGCCCTTGGGGACATTTTGTCTCCTTCTGCTCTTCTTTGCTAGGCTCTCCTTTGAAACTTATGTAGAAATCAATTATCCAAACTGGGGACTGGAATTCCAAGATACCCACTGGTGGTCGTAGCTCCCTTTTGCCTAAATCGGCTGCCATTCACGACTTAGCGAAGTTGCAAAAATTTCAGATGGCACAAGAAAAGGAGAATGCTGCAGAAATCTCTTTCTAGAGTTGATTGATTGACTGAAAAGAGGAATCATCTCCATCATAACATGTCTTTTAATTAAACTATTAATTTTAATATTATTAAATATTAATATGTGTATTAATTTTCTCAATGCCAATCTGACTACCCTAAGCAGACTCTAAGCTCCAAGTAGTCAGAAAATTTTCATCTTCTAAATTACCCAGCAAAGAGGGCAGCTGATAACAGATATTTTTAATATGTTGAATGTTTACATGAGATCAAATAAAATTTGACTTAGCTTATGATTTCATGAGACATTTTGAAAATTTTGATAAAGGGGTGTGGTGAAACATAAGAATTACTATGTATCTTTCTTTACAGTCTCATTACAATTAGGCCTAAACATTTTAGATGTTTATAAACAATGTTAAAACAAGGACATTTATCTGATAAGATCTGGTATCCATAAGAATGTTACATTTATGTCTGTCTTAAGATAAAAAGTTTGAGAAAAATTTTTTTGACAGCAAGAAAAATTACTTGAATTCTAGAGATCTAGAAAGATTTTGAATTCAAGTGAATGATGCTCTTTAAAATACCATTCTAACATCCTTAGAAATATATTTCCACTAAATGATTATAGGGATGGACAATCAGCCGTGTTTCCTGGAATGCTTAGCCGGGCTGGGATGATCATGGCTCAAGATTTGGCTTTCCAGAGCACAGCAAAACAAAACAACACAAAACAAAACAAACAAACAAACATTCTCTTTAAGGAAGCTGTTCAGGAAGGCTTCATAAGTACTTTTCCAGGGCTGATAGCATAAAACCCAACCCCTAGACATAGCATGAGGCCTTTCCCATACTTCTCCAGATTAATTCTTTCATTGATTAACTCCTTCCTTCTTCCTCCTGGCCCAAAGAACATATCCCAAAGCCACAAAAATAGCCATCTTTTCAGAACACCTTGGGCCACAGGTAGATGGGATTATTGCTCCTAAATTTTTATTCTTCTCTACATTAGAATCTATACCCTGTGTGAAGTGAGTTTGCAATTCCTCCCACGGAAGCTTGGCTGGGCCTTGTATTTTGGTCAATGAAATGTGAGCAGAAGTGACTGATTGCAAGAAAAATTCTTAAGGGTTACTGAAAAGCTTCTGTCTGTTCCTCTTATGCTGTTGCCATTCTCCATGTAAAGAACATGCTGTACCCAGTAACTGCTTGCATGAAAAATGAAGAAACACCTGGAACAGACCTATACTTGAGACTAGGGTTGTCTGTTACCCAGCATTGTTGCAGCAATAGCACAGTTACACCGTTGTTTGTTTCTCTCCTCCTTTGCCAAACCCATTTCTATCTCAGGCTGAGGCCATTCCCATTGCCCAGGGACTTTGCTCCTCCCCACCAGTCTCACTTCCCCTCCCCAAATTATTCAACAAGATAATGTGCTCTGTTTATTAGGTTTTAGCTTAAATGTCACATTTTTGGGGTGAGAGAGGGGAAGAGAGGGCTTCTTTAACTCTCAGTATAAATAATGACTTTGCTTTGTGTTTGCTGTCTTGGTAGCTTGTTTATATTTTTCTGCAGCCCTTATGACAATTTAAAATCATATTTATGTGTGAATTGGTTTCATGTCCTTCTTTCTCTCCTAGCCATGGAAACAGAGATCATGTCTATTTTATTTCTCACCATACAGGCAGTACATATAGTGGCTAAAGTCATGGGGTTCTGGAGGCTGGGTGAAAATTCCAGCTCTGCCCCTTACTAACTATTAACTATTGACAGCTGTGTTACTCAGCCATTTAGCTTCCGTTTCTTTACTTCTACAGTGACGTCATAACAGAAAATACCTCACATGTTTTTCATTCAGAACAAGAAGAAAAGGCACATAAAGCACTTAGAATAAATTTCTATATCAACCCACTCCGTTGGCATTGTTAGTGTCTTATAACCCTGATCATTTCAATATCTGCACTTAGGACCCACTGTGTAAATATCTGTTGGATGAATGGATGCATGCTACCTCCTATGATGACAGTCTATTATGACAGGGCCTTGTCTTTGGTCATAAGGTAAAAATGTGGTGGGTCAGTAGACGCCTGGTTACTCTGCAAGTTTCCCAGCTCCAAGAGTATTATCACTAGCATGTCAGTATCACTCTTCTTCATATCCTAACAGAAAGCATCCTAGCATGTTATCTGGTGGGGAAGGTGATGGTTATACATCTTGTTGCACAGTAGACAAAAGAGAAGACTACTCAAGGAAGAACACTATCTTTGGAGAAGAGTGGGATGAAACTTGGGAGGCATCTGAGTTACACTGATTTTTTTTTCTTTTTACCATATAAACATGAAGCTTTGGAGACAGAAAGGGTGAAGTTTGATTCTTAAATGCAAGAGGTGGGCAACTCCATGGATGAGATATTTTCACATTCATGTAAGCACGGCTTTCAGATGTGAGCTCACCTGTGGATGAAGCCCCTTAGTCCTCAATCTTCCTCTGCATCAGGCTGTCTTTATCTTGTCTGCAGTGCTTCAGTCAAGGTGATCAATGACCTTCTCCACATGTTTATTCTGCGGCTGTGGCCGACACTGTTTCAATTAACACAACAGCCATTTTCACCACCTTCTCCTTTGTCCCCTCCCACTAAAATACCTGCAAAGCCAGGCACTCACTTTACCAAACTTCCTTCTAACAAGAGGTGGCCATGTGACCCAGTGCTGGCCGATGAGGTCTTAGACAGTCATTTGAGATTTCTGGGAAAACTCTTGCCTCCTTAACAAAAGGAAAAATATGATAGGAACCTTCCCTCTTCTTTCTGCCATGAAAAGGCTGTGATGGCGAAAGCTGTGCAGCCATCTTGTGAACATGATTTGCTAAGCAGGAGAATGAAAAATCAACATTGGAGGATGGCAGACATGGATTGTACAAAGGGCCCCTGTTTTTGGTTTCATTGCTAAACCAATGCATCAATCTAGAATCACCTACTCACAGTTTTCTCCACTAGGAGATACGTAGGTGCCTTGACTGTGTGAGCCATTATTTTAGCAATTTCTGTTACTTGTATATAGAAATGTCAGAATCGTTATAGCACTGAATATTTGGTTCTTCACTAAACCCCTGAGATATACATGATAGGGATATGGTACCAGTGACTCACTTTCTGAGTAGACAATGAGACATATATAAGTAAAACAGAAAGTGATAGAAGAGAACACACAGTGGCCACATCTGTCCAGCTCATTTGTTCAATTTTCTACATAATTTATCCCCAAAGTACTGAATCTGGAAACTTTAAGTTCTACTTTAACCATTTAAAATTTCCCCATATGTTAGATTTGGAAACTGATCATTAGGGAGTTAAAGTAACTCTCTCAAGGTCACCAAATCAATAAAAGGTGGAGCTGGATTTCTAAACAAAATCTTCACCTCCTAAGTAGCTGCTTCTGAGCCCCATGCATTATTGCTGTCAATTAACCTAATTAATACTTAGTGTCTAAGTTACTTAATCTCTTAATTTTATTTCTTATTTTCTATATCAGGAACAAGCCAGAATACAACATTTATTGTTTCATTTATTTTTTCATTCATATTGCCATTCTTTTATCCAATCTTCTTTGAGAGTTTACCAGATAGTTACTACTTTTTCTTGATCTTACTGGTGAGAACATTGAGGCTCAAAAGGATTAAATGATTGCCCCAGGGTCACACAGTCTATAAGTAGCAAAGCGGGAATTTGAATGCTGACCGTTCACCTGTGAAACTGTCCCTGTAAACTTTAGAAAATGAACCAGGGAAGAAGGAAGCTGGGGAAAAGGAACTGAACCCAGCTTGCAGCACGCTTAGCATTCACCATGAGGGAAGCCTGCTCTCTGAACTGCTTCCTGCTCTCTGAACTGCTTCCTCATAGCTGTTTGGTGCTGATTGCCTCATAATCACATAGAACCTGTTCCAAGATTAGAGTTCCATGTAACTGCTCTGTAATTAACAACTTGAACATTGGAAAATATTGTCCACTTGGGATACTGTGCTAGTCCATTTTCATGCTGCTGATAAAGACATACCCGAGACTGAGTAATTTATACAGGAAAAAGGGTTTAATGGACTTACATTTCAATGTGGCTGGGGAGGCCTCACAATCATGGCAGAAGGCAAGGAGGAGCAAGTCATATCTTCCATGGATGGCAGCAGGCAAAGAGAGAGCTTGTGCAGGAAAACTCCCCTTTTTAAAACTGTCAGATCTCATGAGACTTATTTGCTATCATGAGAAGAGTATGGAAAAGTCCTGCCCCCATTATTCAATGACCTCCTACCAGGTCCCTTCCAAAATACATGGGAATTCAAGATAAGATATGGGTGAGGACACAGCCAAATCATATCAGATACCCTTTCAATCTGGTATACCAGTGAAACTACTAACTCAGCTGGTCTGAAGGACCCTGCAAGAAACTGTCTTACCAAAGAATGCAGTTTCCATGTCCTGATGGTTTATCCCTCCTATCCTAACCAATCAATGACCCCAATCTTCCAGCCCCTCAACCTCCATGAACAGCTCCAGCCCAGAAACCCTTGCAGAGATGGAAAAAACAGTCTCCTTCCATCTCCTCACTTGGTGCCCTGCAATTATTAAACTCTTTCTCTGCTGCAAACCCTGCTGTCTCAGTGTATTGATAAGTTACTATGCAGCAGGTATACACATCTGTTGGTCCTTTAACATGTATTCCATTATTTGTTCATTCACTCATGTTTTTGTTCTTTCATCCAACATTCCTTGAGAGTTTACCAGACGGTACTATTTTTCTCAATTTACTGGTGAGAAAATTGAGGCTCAGAGAGGTCAAATAATTGTCTTAGGGTTACACAGCCCATGAGCAGCAGAGCAGAAATTCAAACTCTCAACTGTTTGCCTGGATAGTCACAGCCTCTCTGTTTTACTGCCTTGCCTCACCTGCAGGTGCAGTGGGCATGGCAGCCTGCTGTGTTCCTCTCCAGGTCCCAGGGAACAGCTCTTCAATGGGGTTATGCTGGGTACCTGTTTATTCAAAGACAAAATGTTTCATGAGGGTGTTGGGCTTACCCGGGGTTACACAGGAAGTCACTATCTAAATCACATACATCCTGTGTTAGTCCCAGTGCCCATCAGTCCTTTTCTGATCACCACTCAAACTGGCTTGAGTGAGAAAGGAATTTATTAATTTGTTGATAAGTCCAGGAATACACGAGTTCCAGGTGTAGCTGGAACCAGTAGCTGAAGCATTTTTCTCAAGACCTGCTTTCTCTGTCTCCCTGCTCTGATTTCACTTGTGCTGGCTTTTCTTTCAGGCAGACTCTCTTCAATTGGTAACCCCTGACAGACACATGCTCTTGTCCTCGCAGAAGGCAGAAGATGTCCCTTCTCTACTCTTGCCAGCAGTTTCAGTGAAAGTCCTGGACCCGACTTCCTGCCCAGATAGAGTCTTGCATCCATCTGATATGGTTTGAATAACTCTCCCCTCTAAGTCTCATGTTGAAATGTGACTCTTGCCTTGTGGAAGGTGTTTGGGTCATGGGAGCAGATGTCTCATGAATAGGTCTGTGTCTTCCCCATGGTAATGAGTGCTAATGAGTTCACATGAGAGCTGGTTATTTAAAAGAGTGTGGCACCTCCCCTCTCTGTCTCTTGCTCCTGCTCTTACCATCTGATATGCCAGCACCCTCTTTGTCTTACATCATGATTCTAAGCTTCCTGAAACCCCACCAGGAGCAGATACTAGCACCAGGCTTCTCATAGAGCCTGCAGAAATGTGAGCCAAACTAAACCTCTCTTCTTTATAAATAACCTAGTCTCAAGTATTTCTTAATAGCAATTCAAGAACCGACTAACACACCATCCCTGAATCAGTCACCGTGGACAGAAAATGGAATGTTCTGATTGTTCAGGCCCAGATTATGTGCCCTTCCTGAGCATGTGGTGGAATCTGGAAGGACTGTGAGTGCAGCTATGATAGGAGTAGAAAAAAAAGGACTCCAGGTCAGCAAAACAGCAAACATCCCCTGTGTCAATGCAGGTGCACCACACAGCATTCATAAATGAGCATTCTTCAGGAAGAGAGCCATAGTGAGGGCCCTGGAACCATGCTGGACACACAGTAAATGTCAGAAACTGTCTGCTAAATGCAGTGCATCTAAACAAAAAAGGGCTCTGTTAGTACTGTATCTGGAAAAGCTTTATTCAAAAAGAAGACAATGCCTTGGAAAGCAAACTTCCTAATCATGCTGGACATTTCAAGGATGTATTTGCACTTTAAAAATGTGGTTGAGAAGATATGCTTGCAAACTTGAAACTTGCTTTCATAGTCTAGTTAAAGAGAAAAGTTGTTCACTAGACACTTGTTGATAAAGGGAAGTCGTATTTTATTCAAAGGTATTGCAATAAGGGAGAGAGACTGAACTCAACTCTGAATACAACAAGGACAAGGGAGGATGTTTAGCAAACTAGCTGAATAAGGAGATCAATGGATGGAAAAATAGGCATCAAGTGGAAAGGGGCGTTTGATAAACTGACCTAGAAAGATTCTTGTTAAGGGCAGACCAAAGATTTGGATGTCAAGGGCAGAAAAAGAAATATTTTATGATAAATAAAATTGATGGGTGGTTCTCAATATGCTGATTTAGCAGGCTGAAGACATGAAGGTCTTCAGGGTCAAAGCTTAGTCAAGGACAAAGATCAAAGAAATCAAACTAAAGTGTGGTCAAGAAAGCAGTCTTCGTCAGTAAACAACAGAATCCTGGCCTTAGCAGAAAGTCTGTTTTTCCTGGTTCCTCCACCCTCATGATTTTGAGTTTTTAAGGGTTAGTGTATTTTCTTTTCTTATTCTTTTGTATTTTTCTTTTGTAGAGATGGGGGTCTTTCCATGTTGCCCAAGCTCATCTTAAACTCCTAGGCTCAAGCGATCAACCTGCCTCAGCCTCCCAAAGTGCTAGGATTACAGGCATGAGCCACTGTACCCAGCCAGGGCAAGTATATTTTCAACTAGTGCAGGGACAGCAGTTCCCTTGTGGTGTAGAAAAGCTTCCTGGCCATAAAGCTGGGCAAACAATTAGAAAAACATTTAAGTGATGATTTAATATAAATAAGAATATTACAAGTTGAGGGCTTGATATTCCCCTATTAAGCATTATTAGTCAGAAATTGCACTGGATATGTGTGCAATCTATTTTACTGAGGAAAAATATATGTAGACTATAGACTTGCTAGTGTAATTAACAGCATCCTTCTAGTGAATTTTAAAGCATCCAATTTACTCAGATTGTAGTTTTCATCTCCCTACACTTGCTAATCAGTCTGTCAAGCATAATAGCCATTTTGGGATGGAAGTATTTAATCCTGTGTGAATGGGCTTATCAGTATGCCTTAGGAAGACAATATATGACTTCCTGGCAAAGAAATGGCTGCAATTAGGCAGTGATTATGAAGTGTACTTGTCATTATGGTTTTAAAAATCATACCAGGCTAACCTTGTGGTAGAGGAACTCACAAGGTACAACTGAAGGTTCAAAATATGATTACATTTGGTGACTGGGAGCATTCTTGACTCTTGACTCAAGGGTGTGGTTCTGAAATCTCTGAGTCCATCCCTGATGCAAAAAGATCAGCTTTAGCATCTGGCTCAATGGATACTGGGGAAATGTGTAGCTAACACAGGACCCAAAGTCTTGGGGAGGGTCATGCCACCATTAGCTTTACAACCCACTTGTGAGTGTGCCGATGTTGGAAACTTGAATCTCCTCATTACTTGGGGACCTAACTTCTTGTATCCCACATCACTGTAACAGTGAGAGAAATCTAACACAGCTGAATCAATCTTGTTTCTAACCTCACTAGCTAACTGCCTTTGATCATTACTATATGTAAAACAAGCTAATGATGGGAGGAAATTAGTTTATAGTTTAAAGCAAGGATGATAATAGCCACTTTCAAAAACTCATCCCTGAGGAGATAAAGAGGGCCATACACATAAATAACCATGGTATGTTAAATGTTTATAGGAGCATTGTGACCTGACCAAGGACAAAGAAGCTTCACAACCCCCTTAGGCTCCTGCCAATGCCTTGATGTCTGCGGTCACCTGTTACCCTCTGATCTCAGGCCCCTCCTTGATTCCCCTTCACCCAAATAAAAAGAAGCTTGGAAGTCATGCCTTTTAAGATGGTCCTTCAGGACATTAGTATGCCAGCTTCTCAGTTTGCTGGCTTTCTGAAATAAACTAGCTTTTCTAGCCCCAGTGATAGAGGCAGGAGGCAGAGAAATCCTAGGCAGACAAGGGCGGGTCCCTGGTAAAACCCCACCTTCAAGCAAAAGACAGTTTAAAGCCTGAAGGCCAAGCTACAAATCAAATCCACTCACCGGGTTGAGAACCTGTCTTCCTGTTTGACACACTTTCCTTTAGTTCCCACCCTTCACCTATTTTACATATACCTACCCTTCCCTAATTGCTTTTACACTGTGCCCACCTTTGAGTGCTACCTTTGTTTTAATCTTTTTTGCATATTCACAAATCAATCAGCATGCACTTCCTTATCCTGTGCCTATTAAAGCCCCAGACTCAGCCACACTGAGAGAGACCACCTGACTTCAGGAAAGAGATGACCCCACCTTCCCATCCTCTCTCTGCTGAGAGCTGTTTTGTTGCCCAATAAAATTCTCTGCTCTCATCACCCTTCAGTTGTCAGCATGACCTCATTCTTCTTGGACACAGGACAAGAGCCTGGGAGCCATCAAAGGCAGGTACCCAGGAAGGATGTAACACTGGCCCTCTTCCCTTGCTGGCACTGGTGGAGAGCAGTCACCCCACATGATAGAAGCAGCGGCAGGGCCAAGCCAGCCCCAGAGCCACACCAGTCCCAGAGTCATGGGCCGGAGTGGGGCAAGAGGCTGGCTGAGCTGCTAACACACTACTGCCCATTGGGCTGTGGATGGTGGAACTAAAAGAGTTAATTAGCACACTGTAACACCCCGTCTGGGGCTTCAGGGTCATTGGCACCCCTGCTTGGGCCCTGCAGCATTCCCCTTGGGGTGACATGCCTGGTCTGGCCGCAGGCCCCGCACAGAGTTTGCTCCTGTGTCAGCCCTCAAAGGGGCTGATCAGGCCCTGCACTCACTCACACACGTGCTCCCTCCTGCCAGGGGCTGAGCGTGGCTGGCGGAGTAGACAGGGCGCCCCTTGCTGTGAGTCCAGCAAAGGGGCCAAGAACAATTCTGCATCACCAACACCTTGTCTCTCAACTTATTGACTATTGTACAGCAAGCAGTGTGAGCTTTGGATTCAACAACATGAGTAAAGGCAAATGTATTCAGAGTAGGATTAAGTCACTTCGCTTCTTGTGTTCAGACTTGAGATTTTTCTCTCCCTAATTATATATTTATTTTTTCTTTTTGTTTTTTTTCTTTCTGTGAGATGGAGTTTTGCTTTTATTTATTTATTTATTTTGTTTGTTTGTTTGTTTTTTGTTGTTGTGGTTGAGACAGAGTTTCGCCCTTGTCTCCCAGGCTGGAGTGCGATGGCATGATCTCTGCTCACCGCAACCTCTGCCTCCTGGGTTCAAGTCATTCTCCTGCCTCAGCCTACCATGTAGCTGGGTTTACAAGCGTGCACCAACACACCTGGCTAATTTTTATATTTTTAGTAGAGACAGGGTTTCACCATGTTGGCCAGGCTGATCTTGAACTCCTGACCTCAAGTGATCTGCCCACCTCAGCCTCCCAAAGTGCTAGGATTACATGTGTGAGCCACCATGCCTGACCTCTCTCCCTAATTATCAAGGAGCCATAACTAATAATAATTTTGCATAGAAGCAGAATGTCTGGAGCTCCTGATCTCCCTGTAAATATAAAATCTAAGTTACTTTGCCCTGAATTTGGGAAATATCTGTCAGAATTATACTGTGACTCAGAATCACATGGCAGATACAATGGACATGATTTTTTGAGTTAGAGTTTAATGGTCTAGGGGAAAATGTCAAAGTCAAAATATTACAGACTATTTTAGGGCTACTTCAATCTGAAAAACAATCTTCAAAATCTGAATATTCTTTTTTAACCTGAATCTGAAAATCAGAGTTTAGCCTAAGCTGGAGAATTATAGAGACCTGAAATGTCATTCTGTTCCCAAGAGGAAACCGCAATAATTTTGAGACTCTAGAGTGAGGAAGAAAATTGTTTTCATCCACTTTTGATTGGTCGTGGTTTCATGTTGAGAACAGTTTTAACAAACAGGAAATCTGTCAGATTGCTTAGTGATATCGGTCATACACGAGATGCATGTGTCCTGTGTTAATTCTCACCACTTCAGGGCAGTGAGAAAATGCAAATGGTGGAATCCCACCCAAGTCAGTCTCTGCTGATTCTCTATTCTTTTTTGTTTGTTTGTTTTTTGTCTTTTTTTTTTTTTTGAGACAGTCTTGCTTCATCGCCCAGGCCGGAGGGCAGTGGCACAATCTCAGCTCACTGCAACCTCCACCTCCTAGGTTCAAGTGATTCTCCTGCCTCAGCCTCCCAAATAGCTGGTATTACAGGCGTGCACCACCATGCCAGGCTTATTTGTATATTTGTATTCTTAGTAGACACTGGGTTTCACCATGTTGGGCAGGCTGGTTTCGAACTCCTCACCTCAAGTGATTCACCTGCCTCGGCCTCCCAAAGTGCTGGGATTATAGGCGTAAGCCACCACGCCAGGCTGATTCTCTATTCTTCCATGAAAGCAAAAACTCAGATCTGGCTAATTTTCAGAGGCATCATGGCTTAATGAAAAGTACATGGACTTTGGTGTTATAGCTAGTGGTTAATCCTGGTTCTGCTACTTAACGAAGTGTGAGAACTTGGGCGAGTTACTGAACATTTCAGAGCCCAGTTTATCATAGGAACTTGGGCAATACTGATGTCTCTTTTAGAGAGTTGCAGCTGTGTTGAAGTGAATAACACTGTCAAGGGACAGGGTTGGCATCAAGTAAATTACTCAAAACAGTACTACTTTAAAAACACAATCTTGACAGGGGAAATAGCTCCTAGTCTTATATTTAAATAAGTGATAGGGATTAATTTTGTTTAATTTATGCAAGTAGCTCATGAAGTATAATTTTCTAAATCATAAAATTATGACTCTAAAAATACATAAAATTAAACCTGTATAAATTTTCTTTTAATTACTACTTAGAGAACCAGTAACATGGTAGGACTGGCTTAAAGAACATTTTTAAAGCCTAATATATAAAAGCAACATTAATATATGATGTATGAGTTATATACAAAAACTGGCTTATATTCAATATGACATATTTTGGGGGGTGTTATCTGTTCCATCAAATAGAAGTAATTTGTATCTCTACCAGGACAAAAACAACCTTACTAAGTCTGGGATGCTTATTCAATAGTATCAATGATGAGTTCACTTCCTAGCTGATTTTGCACATGGCATTTGGCAGGAGGGTTCAGTTCTTCACTGGCTTTTGATAGGAGTATGCATTTGTTGTTGTTGTTGTTGTTGTTTGTTTTGTTTTGGCTACATGGGTTTGAGTGTCTTGCTGAAATACGGCCAGATTTTCCTAGAGTAAGTGATGAGAGAGAACAATGCCTTTTATTTTCATGACTTAGCCCAAAAGCCATATGTAGTAGTTTGTTTTCATACTGCTAATAAAGACATACCTGAGACCAGCTAATTTACAAAAGAGAGAAGTTTAATTGGACTTACATTTCCACATGGCTGGGGAAGCCTCACAATCATGGCAGAAGGCAAGGAGGAGCAAGTCACGTCTTACGTGCATGGCAGCAGGCAAAGAGAAAGAGAGCTTCTTCAGGGAAACTCCTCTTTATAAAACGGTCAGATCTCATGACACTTACTCACTATCAGGAGAACAGCATGGGAAAAATTTCCCCCCATGATTCAATTATCTCCCACTGCATCTCTCCCACAACACATGGGAATTCAAGATGAGATTTGGGTGGGAACACAGCCAAACCATATCACCATATATTATTACTTCTGTTTGTAAATTACTTCTGTGAGTAACTCATTTGGACTCTCACTCACTGAGAGGGGAAATAGACTTAACATGATAAGGGAGGGTTTGTTAAAGAAAAATTTGTGGACATATTTTAAAGGCACCTACCTAACAAACAACCTCAGAACCTCAGTGGTTTGAAACAATAAGGTTTATTTCTCACTCATGCTATAGGTTCTTCAGTGATCAGTAGAGAGGTTCTGTTCATTATGATCAGATGCACAGGACAAATGAAAACCACTGTATTGAATACTATAGATCACTCTGGAAGAAGGAAAACAAGCTTTGGAGAGTCTTCAGCCAGCAGTTAAAGACCCCCATCTAAATACCACATTATTAGAATAAATAACAAAAACCACATAACCATCTCAGTATACCCAGAAAAAGCATTTAACAAAATCCAACACCTTTTCATATACATTTTTAAAAAACCACTCAATAAATTGGAAATAGAAGGTAAAGGACATCTACAAAAAACTCCACAGCTGTCATTATAGTTAATAGTAAAAGACTGAGTTATTTTCTCTTAAGATCAGGAATAAGACATGAATGTCTACTCTTATAACTTCTATTCAAAATTTTCCTGAAATTATCCAAGATAATTAGGCCAGAAAAATAAATAAATAGCATCCAGTTTGGAAATAAAGAAGTAAGTCTATTTATATTCAAACATGATATGACCTTGTGTATGGAACATCTTAAGAAATCCACTTAAAACCTATTAAAACTAATAATTAGTTGGACAAAGTTTCAAGATACAAGATCAATATACAAAAATAAATTGAAATTCTATATGCTAAAAGTAAGCAATCCAAAAATGATTTTAAGAAAATATGTAATTATATTTATAATAGCACTCAGAAATAATATGATATTTAGGAATAAATTCTTAAAAGGAAGTGCAAAACCTATGCATGTAGCACTAGAAAACATTGTTGAAAAGAATTAAAGAAGATTTAAATAAATGGAAAAAAATTCATGTTTGTGGATTGGAAGACAATATTGTTCAGATGGCAGTACTCCTCAAATTGATCTATAGATTCAATGTGGTCCCTATCAAAATTCTGGCTGGATTTGTTGTATAAATTGAGAAGCCTATCATAAAATTCATATTGAAACACAGGGGACTTAGAACATCCAAAACAGTTGAGAAAAATAACACATTTAGAGGACTCACACTTTCCAATGTCAGACATTACCCGGGCACAATAATTAAAGAGTGTGGTATTGGTATAAAAAAATGACACACAGACCAGTGGAATAGACTTGAGAGCCGTAAAACGTACCGTTACATTTATAGTCAATTGATATTCAACAAAAATTCCAGACAGTTGAATGAGGAAAAAAATAGGAAAAATAGTCTTTTCCACAACTGCTGCTGACAAGTATGTTTTGGATCCCTTCCTTACACCACACACAAAAATTAACTCCAAATGATCCACAGACCTCAATTAAAGAGTTAAAATTGTAATACTCTTAGATGAAAGTATAGGATTAAATTTTTGTTGCCTGGGTTAGGCAAAGCTGTCTTAGAGACAACACTAAAAGTACAAACAACAAAATATTTTGTTACTACCTGTCTTCCTGATGTGCGTCTAGTCTAGGCTGTTTTTCTTGTTATTGTTACTGAGACGAGAAGTCTTCTTCCGACCGAAGGTTCTTCTCAATCGAAGGGTTCGTGGTCTCACGGCTTCAAGGAATGAAGCCGTGGACGGCAGTGGCGAGTGTTACAGCTCGATTAGAGAGTGTGCTGCGGCAAGATTTATTAAAGCGAAAGTGAAAGGAAAGCTTCCACGTGGGGGAAGGGGACCTGGAAGGGTTGCTGTTTCTGGCTTGGGTATCTTATGCTTACATCCCCTTATGACCCCTGCCCTCTTCCTTTTTCTGTCCTATAGAATCAGCTTATTTTCTATCTGCTTGTGGGTTGGCGGGCCTAGTTGGTTAAAAACATCAGGCTGAAGCTAGAGCTTAAACTCCCTATATGACTGGTTCAAGTTTCAACCACTTAGCTTGCAGCTATGAGTCAGTTTGTCTTAGGGGAAAGTCCCCTTTGATTGGTTGAAGTTTCCATCCCTTAGCTTTCAGCTATGACTCATTTTGGCTTAGGGGAAAGTCCCCTTAGGGAAGTCCCTATTGACCCAGGAAGTCCAGCCAACTTAGCCACTTAGTCCCTCATTACAACTCTTCCCATTTAACTGAATGAACCACTCCTTTTTAAAAAAATCACCACTTTTTTTTTTTTTTTTTCTTAGAGACGGAGTCTCGTTCTGTTGCCCAGGTTGGAATGCAATGGCGCGACCTTGGCTCATTGCAGCCTCCGCCTCCCGGGTTCGTGCCATTCTTCTGCCTCAGCCTCCTGAGTAGCTGGGATTACAGGCGCTGGCTAATGTTTGTATTTTTAGTAGAGATGGGGTTTCACCATATTGATCAGGCTGATCTCAACCTCCTGACCTCGTGATCCACCCGCCTCGGCCTCCCAAAGTGCTGGGATTACAGGTGTGGGATTACACCGCACCTGACCTAAAAATCACCACATATTTTAAAGCACTATTTGTCTCAGGGCATTGTGGGATTTCAGTGATGAACTGGATTTAGCTTTTAGGTTGAACAGGAAACGTCAATAGAATTTTCGGTTTTCATGTCAGTGCAGATCTCGCAAAATAAAAATAAATGTGGCATTGGCTCTAAGGGCAGGGCCCATACACTAGTCCAGGCTATTCTGTAAATGATTAACACATCTCCAGGAGGAGATTGCCGCCCCAGAAACACCAATTCTGCTAAATACTGAAAGCAAATCTCACACTTGGGTTCTTGAGATCCCATAGAGTGTGGCTTTGCCATTCTAATCTCCTGGGGAGAGGGGAGATGTGGCAGGAAGAGACCACTGCACAGAAGACTCCTAGGCTGATAAGAATGTGTGAAGATGACCTGCAGATGAATATGCAAAGGAGAGTGCATGGAGACCACCAGCAGAGGACTAAATTAGAAGAAACAATCTGGAAGGGTGCAGGCACTGGTTTGGCTGCCATTAGTCTGAAATCCATACAGGAATTCAGAGGGGAGACACATGTTGCTAGAGAGACCAATTCAGGGCTAGAGAGAGGCAGAAGTGAATCTTCAAAGACAAGAGCTAAATTTTCAGCTGTAAGGAAGGAAAGAGATATTATACCAAGGTGCCTTGATTCTGATGGTCATGGTAAGTCATTCATTCATTCATTCATTCATTCATTCATTCATTCATCTGTTCGTTCATGCAGATTGTGGTGGTGGCACACAGGAGTTTAGTTTCAGACATATTAATTTAAAGATGCATAGTAGATATCTAACTGGAGACAGGTATTGGTAGTTGGATGGAGGAATCTTGAAGTAGGAAGAAATATTCAGGCTGAAGATATGAACTCTGTGATTTTTATTCTTATGTTTTTAAACTATTAATATATACCTTTTTCTGAAATCAATGAATTTCCCCAAGCAACTCCAGACAGATGTCTGGGGCCTCATTTATTTATTGGTTTCATAAATCTGAGCCCTCTTTGATTTAGCGTTATACAGCCAGCCCATCCCGGGCCTGATCTTTGCCATCCTAATCATGAACTAAGCCCCTGCCATGTAATTGTGTGTCTACTCCTCTGCCTCCGGGGATTGTAAGTACAGTGTTCTTCTTTATGCATCAAGATGTTATTGCTGAGATGTGAATCATGCAATTGCCAGGAGGGTCTCTGATCCCAGCTGCAACTTCTCCATTGAAGACTAGCACGCCCTACAGGGGGTTCAGAATAAAGGGAACCTCTTGACCACCCCTGAGAGCCCAGCCAACCAGCAACCCCAATGCATGAATATATGGCCATGACCTCAGTAGTGATTGCTCTCTCTTGGATAGGCCAATCTGTCTTCTAGAAAGTTAAAATTCTTCAGTTAAAAAGGCTCATGTGGTGCAAACTTGTAAAGACAAGAGGGGGGAATGTTTCACATTCTAATGATCTGTTTTTGAAAGTAATTTGAGGGTCCTTATATAACTCTGCTTTTTTTATGTTCCCACTGGATGTGCAACTATGTCATGCACGAGGCTGGGGACACCGAATGAATGAATGGAAAGTCAGTGAATAAATGACTGGGTTCTACGTAGACTCTGCCCCACCTGGGATCCAGTGTCTCACTGAGCAGCTGGTGAAACCTGATGCCTCCACTTCATACCTCTGTGACCTCCCTACTCCCCAGTTGCCTCTTCTAGCAGTAGACATGATAGACTTTCACTTGCTGGCCTCATTAATTCCAAAGATGACCTTGTGACTATGTCTGGCCAATGGTTTGCTAGCAAAAGCCAACCATCCCTCTTCTGGACTTGAGCATTTAAATCCCAGTGTCAAAACTTCCAGAGCTCTTCTTTCCCTTCAAGTCCAAAACCAAATAATCTAAATTTAGAATGGCATGTATAGTATGTATTACTTATGTAAAAATGGTGCAAAAAAGGGTGCATAACCATGTAATTGCTTGTAGATATATAGGATATTCTAAGGAAAATCAATAATAAACAGTAACATCTCGATCAAAATATCCCAACGCCAGTCCCAGATAAACGCATAAACATTTACCTCTAGAGCCCCAAATAATAGTTTCCCAGATGTGACTGCCTGCTCACTGTGTATATTGACAGAGGTTGTTGAAGTATTTCTTTTTTTTTTTTTTTCCGAGATGGAGTCTTGCTTTTCTGCCCAGGCTGGAGTGCAGTGGTGCGATCTCGGCTCACTGCAACCTCCGCCTCCCAGGCTCAAGTAATTATCCTGCCCCAGCCTCCCAAGTAGCTGGGATTTCAGGCATGTTCCACCATGCCCAGCTAATTATTTTTGTATTTTTAGTAGAGATGGGGTTTCACCATATTGGCCAATCTAGTCTTGAACTCCTGACCTTGTGATCCGCCTGCCTCGGCATCCCAAAGTTCCTGGCTGCAGTATTTCTTAAGTCAACCAGAATGAGCTCATCTTTTTTATGGAGAGACTTAAATAGAAATAACCAGCATTTATGATGTGTCCATGTGATTCTAGGTAAGAGTTTTCATCCAGGGTGGTGGGTAATAAGAATAAATGCAGATGGACTATTCTTAAAAGTTGTATTGGCTAGGTGCGGTGGCTCATGCCTGTAATCCCAGCACTTTAGGAGGCCAAGGCGGGTGCAATCATGAGGTCAAGAGATCGAGACCATCGTGGAACATGGTGAAACCCCGTCTCCACTAAAAATACAAAAATTAGCCAGACATGGTGCCAGATGCCTGTGGTCCCAGCTACTCGGGAGGCTGAGGCAGGACAATTGCTTGAATCCAGGAGGCGGAGGTTGCAGTGAGCTGAGATCATGCCACTGCACTCCAGACTGGGCAACAGAGCGAGACTCCATCTCAAAAAAAAAAAATTTGTATTTAAGGAACAGTGTAAGAAGACGTGTGTGCTGTCCTATGCTGGAGACAATCCTGGGATGTTTTCAGACAGACAGGGCAAAAAACAAACAAACTAAAAAAAAATGTCTGGCCAGTGTTTAGTGTCTCTGGTTGTGCCATAATAATGTTGATGAAATCAAATAAGCGGCACATGAGGGAGAGTTGTTTTTGTGAGGAACTGTTGTAGATTTGGCAACTGAGAAAGTGCAGGTGCTGAAAGCATCTGTTCATTTTCAATCATTATTATTGTTCACTCCCAGATATGCTGGCTATGTAAAAATATAAAGTCACTTCTACCAGTCATAAGAAAGATCGTTATCGATAGAGCTGGGAGACAGCCAAATGTGGCCCAGGTCATTGTGCACAGGCAGCTTGCCTAAAGATGCCCACAGTGAAAAATTTCATCCCTGAACCTATGCACAGTAAGGGAATAAAGCAATGTGGAGTGGCTCAGACTAAGGGCCCACCTGCCCACTGGGAGAAGCGAGGGGAGCCACTGTAAATTCACGCCTTATGCAGTGGGAGGAGCTTGGCCTCTTCAGCTCATGTGTGGTGGCCTGGTATTCAATCTGTGAGGTGGGAGCTTGTTGGCAGGGACCCCCTTTTTTTTGCTGAGAGCTTTCTTTTAATACATTTTGCCTTCCTCACATTTCAGTGTGTCCACGTGCCTAATTTTCCTGGTTGTGAGACAAGAACCCAGGTTTTAGCTGTGCTAAGGAGCAAAAAATCCTGCATCACTATTTTAAAAATGAATCCACAATGAGGTTGAAAGATGGGATTCTATGCACACACACACACACACACACACAATTGTTTGCATGCTTTCAAGCTTCATATAAATAGTGCAACTTGCTTTTGTTTTCTTAGTCATATAGTTTCAGATTTATTTGTGTTGAAAGATGTAGTTCTAGTGACTCCATTTTCAAGTAGTTATTTGGTATTTTATTTATTGATTTATTACACTGTTTTATCCATTATCTGGTTGGTAGACAATTATTATTTTTGACATTTCTGTGATTACAGATGATGCTGTTAAATATTCTTATATCTATCTCCTTGTGCACATACACAGACACACCCACGTACATGCCTATGTGTATATATAATATACATGTATTATATAAAATACTTTATGTGTATATACATATGCATATACACATCACACACATGCATATACACATGCATACACACAAACATCTGTATGTTTAAAAATTACATATACACTCAAGAATGGAATTGCCGCTTGATATTGCATATATATCTTTAATTTTACTAGATATTGTGGAATTGATTTTCCAAAGTTCTCCCGCTAAGATACATTCCCAGAAGCAATGTATGAACATTCTGGTCTCCTTATATCTTCTCTATAATGGTTGGTACTGTCAGGTGTCTAAATTGTCTGCCCGTATTTTGGATGCTCGGTAGTAGTTCATTTGCTTTAATGTGCGTCCATGGAATTGACAGTGAAAATGAACCACCACCTATATATGTCTTTTGCCTATTTGAAATTATTCTCTAAAATATCCATTTATAATGTTCACTGATTTTTCTGTTAGTTTGTTTGTATTTTACTTATTGCTTTGTTAAAACTCCTTCTCTATTCTGGATACTATTCTCTTGTGTTTTGTGAGTTATGAATATCTTTTTGTATTTTGTAATCTGCATTTTTTATTTTTTGTCTTTTATTCTATAGAGTGATGTATTTGGCTGTTCAGTTATGGTTTGCAAGAATTTTTTAAATATAAGCATAATTGCCACTATGTATCCAACAATTGGTAAGCTCTAATCTTTGATGTATATTATCTTAGTGCTCACATCAACCTTGTGAACAAAGCATTGTCATTATCTCCACTTTACCAACGAAGACTCTGAGATCAGAAAGTCGAGTCAATTTCCTAGGGTGAAACAGTCAGTATGGTGCTGAACTTAATCCAGCTTCTTGTGTCCTCAAGTCTATGTCTTTAAAAATGTCAATAAATAAGTGATACATTGGCCTAGTTGTTCAGGATGTAGGGAAGAGATTAGCACATGTGCTATAGTGTGGGTGGGGACACAATGGTATTTAGGAGAGTCATTCATTCATTCATTCATTCATTCTGTGTGCGTCTGTCCATTCCCTTCATCATTTCAGTCATCAGACTTCTACTGGGTGTCTACCACGTTCCAAGTACTCCACTGAAAACAGAGGTAACCAAAAGAATAAGAGAGAACCTGTGCTCAAAGTCACCAGTGTGTGTACAAAGGGTTGTGTTCCATGGTACCATTAAAGGAAGTAAAAAGGGTAATGAAATTTAAACTCATAACATACATAAATAAATTATAATGAAGATAAGAGCAAAAACATCAATAATATTTATAATAGATAACAAATAGAGAACATGAATGAAAACCATAGCTACTGCTTTGAAAAGATTAATAACATTGATAAACCTGTAGCTTAAGTGAACACTAATAAAAGACATACATTACCAGTATGAGAAATAAACTAGGTAACATCCCTAACATGCTACAGATGCTAATATAATAATAATGAGATGCAATGAACAACTTTGTATCCATATGTTTGATAACTTAGATGAGATGGACAAATTCCTTGAAAGGCACAAACTGTGAAAGCTCATTCAGAAGAAATAAGTAAATAGTGTTACTTATTTTAATTTAATTTAGAGTCTCAAACCTTCCAAACAAAGAGAAACTCAGACCCAGGTAGCTCCACTAGTGAATTCTATCATACATTTAAGAAAAAAAATAATAATCCTACGTAAACTCTTTAGATAACAGAAGAGAACACTTCAGAGCTCATTTGATGAGACCAGATTGTCCTGATACCAACATCAGACAAATGCAGAAATTACAAAACCAGAAAACTATAGACCAATTAATTGCTTATGAAGATAAATAAAAATTATCAACAAACTATTAGCAAATCAAATCCAGCAGTAAAACAAACAAAAAAATAACATGCCCAAACCAAACAGGGCTAATTCCAGGACTATAAGGCTACTTCAACATCCATTAATCAATTAATGTAATTCAAAATATCAGCAGATTAAAGAAGAAAAGCCATCTGATCCTTTGAATTGATGCTGTAAAAGCATTTGACAAAACCTAACGTCAATTTATGGCAAAAAATCTTAGCAAACTAGGAATGTAACTATTTTACCTTAATAAATAGCATCCATAAAAATCGTATGTTTAACAACATATTAAAGGCTGAAATAATTAAAGTTTTCCCTGAAAAGAACAGAAACAAGGCAAGGATGTTCATCTCACCCATCTTATTCAACATTGTACTAAAATTCCTAGCCCATGAATAGGAGAAGAAAAAGAAATGAAATAAAAGGCATGTGGATTAGAAAGGGAGAAAGAAACCCTTCTCTATTCATAAGGAACAAAACTGTCTTACAGAAAATCAAATACATTTTGAAAAAAAAACGGTAAAAGTAATTAGGGATTTATCAAGAATATAGTGTAAAATGTCAATATATCAAAAACTCAATTGTATTTCTATATAGTATCAATGAACAAATTGAAATGGAAACATAAAAGTGCTATTACAATAATACCCAAAACTATCAAAACTATGAATCATTTAAGTTTATGTCTAGTAACATATATGTAGGACCTATATACTGAAAACTATAAAACACCAATAAAATAAGTTAGAGAACGATACTCATGTTAATGTATTAAGAGACTCAACATTTTTAGTATGTGATTTCTCTCCAGACAGATCTACAGTTTTAATTTAATATTCATCTAAATCTCAGAAGATTTTTGCTGATATTGGCAAGCTGACTCTAAAACATTTGTAGAAATGCAAAGGATCTTGAAAAGCCCAGATAATTTTTAAGAACAACAAAATTGGAGGTCTCAAGCCTTAAAACTATCCAAATTTACACCTTAGCATAAAGGCATAAAGTTTCAGTAATCAAGCCAGTCTGACATTAGTGAAAGAATAGACACATAGTAAATCAATGATTGAAAGGAAGAATACTCCACAATGGACACACAGGTATACAGTTAATTGACTTTCAACATAGGTGGAAGTTAATTCCATGGACAATGGATAATATTTGCAACAAATGGTGCTAGAACAATTATGAATACAAAATATGCCACAAATAACACTTGATATGTGCCCCACACAGTCTTTACATAAGTTAACTCAAATTGAATTACAGACCTAAAGGCAAACATCAAACTACAAAAATTACAAGAAAACATAGAAGAAACTACTTATGACCTCAAATTAGACAAATAATAATGCTTAGATATTATACCAAAAACATGATCAATAAAAAGGAAAATTGATAAAATTGGCTTTTAAAGAATTAAACACTTCTTCTCTGCCAAAGACATTGTGAAGAGAATGAAAAGGCTATCTGTAGAATGAAAGAAAATATTTGCGAAGCTTACATCGGATACTGAACTAATGTCCAGAATAACAAAAAAAAACACTCTTAAAATTCAAGTTAGACAGTGGTCATTCTGTGCTTTTAAAATACTGTTGAATGTACAGAGGTGCCTTGGGAGTATCGGCTGCGATTGAGGGGAAGGCTCTGTAGACAGAGATCCAGCCTCCCCCGCAACCAGTCATATCTGTTCTGCAGTGGTTCTATAGCTTAATGGGAGTGGGGTAATCAGTCACCTCTGAAGATGGCCCAGGAGCAGTCAAAAGTTCCATGAAACCCTTAGAAAGACGCAGGTTGGAGACAGACACCTCATCTTTCAAAAAGTCAAGCAGCCAGTTTTCCCTCTGGATTTGGGACAGTTGTTGAGTTAATGCAAGTACTGGACTTGAGCTTGGCCATCATATTCCAACACACACACACACACACACACACACACACACACGCACACACACACACCCTTCAAACAGTAGTCACAGCAGTGCAGTGAGACTCTCACATTATGAGAAGCATTTGAAAACGGAACCTGCTATTAAGGAAATAACAGACCTTCATCTTTATCTCCTACTAATTCCAGGACACAGACATTTTTCCTGGAATTGTGGTTGAATTTCCTACACTATTTAGATTACCTTTACATCCTCTTCCTTCTTCCTCTCCTCTCGCTTTTCTTCCTCCTTCCCTTTTTCCTCCCCTTCTTTCTCTCTTCTTTTGTTCAGTATAAATATATATGATGCTCAGAGTAAACCTGTATATGCTTTTCAGCACAAATGTTATACGATGTTCAGTGTTGACGTGCATATGATGTTCAGGGTAAATGTGAATATAGTATATACACATTTTCTTGTAAGACTTTCTTGTAAGACTTCATTTGAAGAAAGAGTTCTGCAGGTCACTGTTATAGTGTACCATAAATGAGGAAAATTGAATCACTTGAAGCTAGGTGTCTTCTTTGTGTACTGAAGCAAATAAACGAGATAGGACTAGGAGCCAGGCTTCTTCAACTTCAGTCCAGTGCTCTTTTTCTTTGACACAAGTTCTTTCTATTTTGAGGAACTCATAAATTAACAACCAGAGAAAATACTCTTACAGGGAAATCAGAGGTTCAGAATGCAGAGGTGACCTCTCTTTCCCATGTTCTCCCAAAACACACTTCCTTTAAATGGGCAAAGCTTGGCTATACCTCTCTCAGTGCTCTCTCTCTCTCTCTCTCTCTCTCTCTCTCTCTCTCTCTCTCTCTCTCTCTCTCCTCCTGGAAGACAATCGTTATTGTCAACATAAATTCTGTACTGAGCAATATCTGGGCAGGTCTGGAGACTGGAGTTCAGGCACACTCTCCCTCTCCACCCCTCCTTCCTTCTTGTTGCTGTATCTGAGCAGCCAGGCTGGGCAGCCAGTGTTTCCTGAAGGCCCCCCCACACTGAGGCTGTCATGACTCAGGGGATGGGAAGAGGTACAGTGTTTACTAAAGATATGATTTTCATGGAAGTGGCCTTGGGAAAGCAACATTTTTTTGAAAACAAGCTCTATCCTTTAGTTTGACGACAGAAACAGGGAGCTAACCTGTGTCACCACTCGACTGCAAGTGTCAGCTGTCCCAAAACACACAGACATGTATGTGTACACACATACACACACACTCTTCCCTACTCCAAAGGAAATAGATCTATGGCTGAAATAACATACTAGACTCATCAAAGGGTACTAGTAGTTCCTAGATTGTAAGCATCATGCAGCACTTTTTTGAATTCAAAAGACTTATCAAAAATAGATCAGGAGCAGATAAAATTAATATTTATGAACTCAATTATATAGAAATGGACCTTTAGCAAGCATGCCAGCTGCTAACATTTATAAGGTCTCTTTTCTCTGGCTCCTGGAATATAACTTTAAAAATACATAAAAGTAATTCCAGCTTAATTGGATTGTCCTTCTTCGCTGTGCTTTGGCAGAGTTCCTACAGTTGGTTTAGCTTAAAAGTCAGAGAGGAGGAGGAAGAGCCCGCAGTGTGGCTTTAGCAGGATTCAAAGGCCAGTGTCAAAAAAAGTTATGTTCTACTTCTTCCCTTGCTGGATTTTTCAAAATCTACTGATGAATGGCTTTTTTTTGGGGGGGGATACCTGTCTCTCTTCATTGTCATCACCCATCAATGTCAAAGTCAGTCATCAGTCTACAAGTCGTGTCTGTGATAAGAAGTTTCCCATAATGAAATGTATACTTTCATATACTTTTTCCCATAATGGAAAGTGTTGCTTATAGGTGTTCACTGTGTATGCTCTCCATTCACCCCTTCCATAAGCACTGTACTCCCTTCTCAAATCTGGAAAAGATTAAAGGTTGAGACAAGTTGACTAATGGTTTTGCACATTATAGACAAGCTCGTTTCAGGCTAATGAAATTAAAACAAATTCAATAATGATACTTTCTGTGCAGAGCTCCTTGTAGTTTCTAATGTCCTTTCTCTTACTCTGTTTTCTATTGTGTTACCAAAGATTGTATGAGGTTATCACTGTTATCCCCAAATTCTAAAATGCAGGTGGTCAAATCATTAATCCATGCCATGTACTAGTTAGAAGGAGCATAACCACATTCCAAGATACACCCGAAAACTCAACGGATGGCAACACTCCATAACGTAGCACAAGGGCATGTGTGGTTCTTGCATGTTAGTATATATGTGTGTTCAGAAACAGGGAAGAGAGCTGTGCATTGTGACTCCAACACGAAATGTTGTGTAAGTCCCTCATTTAATAGAGCAGAGTCTATTTTCCACAAAACTATGAACTACATAGCTCACCCCGAAGGAGAAACCCATGAAGTAGGATTTAGTTACATTCTTCTGCAGTTTGTTGATAATTATTCTTGTTAGAATGCAGCAATGTGGAAATGCATTTCATGCTGTTTCATGCTGGGTTTTAAATTGCCTCTTTAACATGTTCGTGTTTGTGTCTTGAAGAACCACATTCACATCACAGGCCTAAGACCACTACCTTCAGAAAGCCTTGTGTGCAAGGTAAACCTTTGGCTATCATCTGGAAACTAGGATTTTAAGAGGGTTCCCTAACTGATATGAGGGGTTTTCTGTGCCTAAATGTCTGCACAGTGTTGTTTATGCTGAAAACCTGCTTTCCTTCTGGGAGTCTGGAATTTTGGTACATTCGAGGCAGATAATGTGACCAGAATCCGATGCAACCAGTGAGCTCATTCTGAGTCTCTAAGGGGCTTCCCTGGGCAGAACCATTACATGCATATTTCAGCACTTTTGTTTCTAGGAAACAACGTTTCTATGTGACCCTCTTGGGAGAAGGAGCATAGGAAGCCTTCACGTGGTTGCCTACAGACTGCATCTTGTTTCCTTACGATCTCACTGTGCGTCCTTCCTGCATCTCTGTAATATTTCTTAGCTGGGAGAACCTCTCTATATTGGGTCTCATGCATGCTTCCAGTGAATCTCTGAACATAGGGGTAGTCTTAGGGGCCCCTGACATTGTTCTACAGAGCAATTGGCTCATTCCACGAGATGGTGCTGGTTGACTTACGACTTGACAGCAGCAGTGGCTTCATTTGGGCTCAGGAAGTTACCTGGCAGGTGACGAACCTGGGGAGTGAGCTGGTTTTCTAGCATTTTCATCAGGCAGACGACCTGCGGGCACTGTCCTTTTTAAAATGGTAAGAGGTGTTTGCTTTAAAAAGCAGATGTTACAATATTTTTTCTTTCATTTTCACAACAATTTTTTTTCATTTTTTACTATTAAAAAGAACATTACATTTTTATACTTTGCCCTTTCCCATGTGCCTAATGCAAGTTGTTTAAACAGGAAAAATACACTTCGGTAATGCTCAATTTACTGATTGCATCGTGAGAGCTCCCTGGAAACTATTAAGTTCTTCTATTTAAATCCTTCTTTCTTTGTAGGGGTTACTGAACTGGTTCCCCTAGACCCCTTGTTTTCTATGTCCTCAATTTGCCTGTACATCAAGACTGAATTCTCTAGTTAGTAAAGATGGGTTCATCGGAATATATCGTGGCATATGGCAGATGCAGCAACTTCCTAAACCTAGCAAACTGCTTCTGGGCAATCAGCTTGTCTCTGAGAATCTCCTGACCTCTTGAGGACTGGAAATGCTGCAAATGCAAATACAGTTAAATAGCTTCATTGGGCACCCACCAGCAGAGGGCGAAAGGGCCCCAGAGTCCATATAACCACGTGTGTTTCTGCTTCATGGGCCTGAAAATGACCAGATTTCTTCCCTTGAGCTTGGCTGAAGCTTCATTCACGACCAGGCTTAGGAGCTACATCTGAGAACAGAGTGATGGATCAGGCCCCAGCATCTAAAATGTAGGTGCTGGTCAGTCACAGGAATGATAAACCCATGGGATGTCTCGCGCTTAAATTCCTTTCGTCACACCTAGAAAATGTTCAGATTTCCTCTGTCTTGGTTTGTCTTCCAAAGCTGAAACGAAAGAATGGGGTACAAACCTAAATTACCCTAATGGGATCATTAAGAGTATGTGTTACTCATTCATAGGATGTTAATGGTAACTTCCCCCAATTCAAATCAATCTGGAAATACAAATATGACTTTCTTTGGAAATAGCTTCTTTGCTAATGTAATTAGTTCAGGGTCTTGAGATGAAATTATCCTGGCTTTAGGGTGATTCCTAAATTCAATGACTGGCACCCTAATAAGAAGAGGAGAGAACATATAGAGACATACAGAAAAGGCCAGGTGTGGTGGCTCATGCTTGTAATCCCAGCACTTTGGGAGGCTGAGGCGGGCGGATCACCTGAGGTCAGGAGTTCTAGACCAGCCTGACCAAAATGGAGAAACGATGTCTCTACTAAAAATACAAAATTAGCTGGGCGTGATAGCACATGCCTGTAATCCCAGCTACTTGGGAGGCTGAGGTAGGAGAATCTCTTGAACCCGGGAGGCGGAGGTTGTGGTGAGCCAAGACTGCACCATTGCACTACAGCCTGGGCAACAAGAGCGAAACTCTGTCAAAAAAAAAAAAAAAAAGACACACAGAAAAAAGAAGTCCAAGTGACAATGGAGGCAGAGATGGGAGTGACGATTCTAGGAGCCGGGAAACACCTGGAGCCCCAGCAGCTGGACAAGGCAAGGGAGGACCTTTCCTTAGAGGTTTCAGAGGGGGCCCCAAGGGTGGAGTCACAAAAGTGAGATTTACTTAGATTTCTATTTTCCCTTTAATTTGCTCAATTGGGATAATATTTTCTTGCCTGTGGATGAAAATAGGCAGATCCATGACTTTTTATGACAAAACACAGCCTCAATTTAAAAATGATTCACTAATCCCAATTCTGAGCTACAATCAAAGGACAGCATTCTTCTCTTCTCCCAGCTGAAACTCTTTTGGTAGAAGTAGGCACGGTAAGTCTTTCTTTTTGCCCCTCATCATTGGCCTCAAAGTTTTCTCTCCTGGCTTGGAGACTGAGGGTTCTGAGTTTGCAGAGCAGACACAGAGGAAGGGGAAGAGATGTTGGGAGGGACAGGAAAGATGAGGTCACAAACACAGGTGTCAGCTGGCATCTGTGTGCTCCCTGGCCTGGGAGGCACTGGGTGGGGTACTGTCTTTTTTATTTTTATTTTATTTTATTTTATTTTATTTTATTTTATTTTATTTTATTTATTTATTTATTTATTTAGACAGAGTTTCACTCTTTGTTGCCCAGGCTAGATTGCAGTGGTGCGATCTCAGCTCACTGAAACCTCCGCCTCCCAGGTTCAAGCGATTCTCCTGTCTCAGCTTCCTGAGTGGCTGGAATTACAGGCACCTGCCACTACGTCCAGCTGATTTTTGTATTTTTAGAAGAGATGGGGTTTCACTATGTTGGCCAGGCTGGTCTCAAACTCCTGACCTCAGTGATCTGCCTGCCTCAGCCTCCCAAAGTGCTGGGATTACAGGCGTGAGCCACCGAGCCTGGCATTTTTTTTTTTATTATTTTTTAAGGGATGCTTTCATGGGTTCCTTGGCAAACCTCAATTCCCCTTCCATGACTGATGATCTTCCACTCATGTGGCCCCAAAACTGTGTGACCACATCGTCTTCCCTGTTTAGCTGCTGGGCACCCCAAAGTCTACTTCCAATATCGTCTCTGTTTGAGGTCACCTTTCTGGGAATTTTTTCACGTGACATCAGCCAGGCTCCACTGACTTATTGTTTGATGTTCTAGCCTCTCCATGTGCAGCAGCAACTATCATCTCTCAGCTCTCAGAGGAGCTGAACTCCTCACCCGTCAGATCCCCCCAGAGTGAGTCAGGCCCTGGTTCAGTGTGTCTCCCACTGCAGGGAACACATATTGGGGTTTCCAGGTAGTCCTCCTGAAATTCTTTTTTCCTGAGCTGAGGAGAGAGAAGACACACTTCCCTTTCCCTCCACCCTGGGGCCTGGAATGCACAGGGCACCTGGAATTCTCTGTAGTCCATCCCCTTCCCAAGCTTTCCTATTAATTTCTAACTCATATCATTTTGTACCCTCAACCAGAGTAGGGGCTCTCCTTGTGGTCCAGCACATCGTTTGGACTTTAGCAGGTGTTGTATATTGGTCCCTTGGCCACAAATGCAGTTTTGTCCTCTGTTTACACAGGTAAAATTGCCAGGAGAATGTCCAGTATATGGGGGACAGAGTTAGAGGGAGCTATTATTCAGTTAGCGTTGAGTATCTGGGGACTTGACCCAGGAGAAACTCCTTGTGGAAGAGACCTCTGTCACAAACACTCAACCCTCCTGTGATAGTCATGATATGTTTTTGCAATGCTATCCCATGATCTAATTCACAGAGGTGGGCTCTCATTCAGAGTTCTTAGTGTTCTGGGGGCTTATTGGTTTGTGATTCCTAAGAATTGAGTTGCATGGAGGAGGAGGAGCACAGAGGAGGAAAGGGGAAGTTCCTGCAATCCTCAGGAGATGGAGCGGCCCAGGCACTGTGTTCCAGGATGGGAGGACACAGCGGCATTTGCAGTGAGGTCAGGATGCCAATCAGTGTGATCATCTGTGTGTCTACCTGTTGTAGCCAGCATTTTGCACAGTCAGGAGCACTTCTGGCCCTCACTCCTGAATTTCCTTAAATGGCATGTGACTAGCCGAGCTCTGGGAGCAGGGGCTGGCAGGCGTAAGGACTGAGCCTGCCCTGGGGGAGCTCCTGGCTGGTTTTGCGCCCAAATGAAGTCCTCATTGGCCACCTTACATCCGTGCCCCCACATCTCCCCCTTTCTCGTGGTGATGTCAAGTCTCTTGGGTGGAGGGAGGACGACGCATCACTGTGTGTTTTCAGAGTCTCCCTGTTGGGTTAATTGGTCCTACAAAGGTGTCACGCTACAGCATTGAAGTGCAGAAAGATTCATTACAGTGCCTGGAGGTTGCTAGATTGGGTGGTGGCCTGTGCTATTGCTGACCTCTTGGTTCACTATGAGAATTGCCTCTGGAATGATGCCAAAAGACTAAGGCTGCTTATTAAACTTCAGAATAGCCAGGCTTGGTAAGATTTTTGAAACATCATTTGTGTTGGTTGTCTCCAAATTCCATAAACATGCTGAAGAATAGTCTTTGAAGGTAGTTCCTGCTCCCTGTTTTAGAGGAAGATCGAAATGGTCTCTTTAAGTGGCTCCTACATACATTTTCATTATGGAGCAAGACTTGGAGAGATCCCTGAAAATTAATTCTAGTCTAGTTCTAAATAAAGTAATGGCTTAAAATGCTTGCCCACCAAATGAAAACTAAGGAAAACAATACCCAAGGCAACAGTAACAACACTAGCTGATTATTGTATTAAGTTCTAACGTCTAACCAGGAGAAAAAAAAACACTTTTGCATTTAGAGCATTTTTTTTTTAAGACGGAATCTCGCTGTGTCACTCATTGCAACCTCCACCTCCCAGGTTCAAACTATTCTCCTGCCTCAGCCTCCTGAGTAGCTGGGATTACAGTCACACACACCTGGCTAATTTTTTTAAAATACATTTTTGGTAGAGGCAAGGTTTCACTGTGTTGGCCAGGCTGATCTCAAACTCTTGACCTCAAATGATCTGCCCGTCTTGGCCGATTCATTTTTAAATGCAGGAAAGTAGCTGCATGGGATCAAACACCTCAGAGGCCAAACAAGGAGCAGGGAGACACCCCAGGATTTAGCTGCTGTCACCCCAACCAAAAAGAAGGAAGCGGGTAATTGGCTCCTTCCAGTATGACACGGGTGTGACGTAGACACGTCACCCTCATCCGTTTATGAAAAGCATGGATAGAGCATATGAGGGAGGGACCAGGACAAAACATTTTGAGTGTGGCTTGGAATTTGCGAGTAAGTTAGTAAATGGCTCATTTTCTTTGTCCTTTTTTCCTACAGGATTCCTTCTTGCTGGTGGGTGGGGGCAGGGGCAGAACTAAACTCCTCTACACAGGGGTCAGCTCCACGTGATACAATCTGGTTTTATTCAATGTATTGGCATATCATTTCCAAGCCTACCAACTTGATGTGGGGCTTGGGGCTGCTGGGCTATTGGATGAGTGCTATCATTTTATGATTGAATCTCCTGTTATTGCAAGGGAGGCTTTTTGTCTTCTAAGCTGATTAGGATAGCCCAGAAAGAGCACTAGGCCACTTCCATCTCACGAAAGCCCCACGCCTCTCCCCACGTACCTCGTTCCCACATCCGATCCCTGACACTGACCCTGTTGGTTCCCATTATGGCCTCTATCCACACAGCCTCTCTCCAGTGCAAAACTTTAGTGAAGAATCTTTTCTTCTGAGAACGATGGAGATGGTGTGATGATGGCCCCTGAAGTTAGTCACAGCTTTGCACAAGCTTGATTTAATACTAGACATTGCTGAAAATGTGAAAGGAGGTGTGTTAGTGTTATTTTCCTGGTGTAAAAAGAAGTCACAAATTTGGTATTCTAAAACAACGCATATTTATTATCTTCTGGCTTTGGTGGTTGTAAGTCTGACATACTACTGGCCAGGTGTGGTAGCTCAGGCCTGTAATCTCAGCACTTTGAGAGACTGAGACAGGCGGATCACTTGAGGTCAGGAGTTCGAGACCAGCCTGGCCAACATGGTAAAACCTTGTCTTTACTAAAAATACAAAAAAATTAGCCAGGCATGGTGGTGTGCGCCTATAATCCCAGCTACTTGGGAAGCTGAGGCAGGAGAATTGCTTGAGCCCGGGAGACAGAGGTTGCAGTGAGCCGGTACTGTGCCATTGCACTCCAGCCTAGGCAATAAGAGCAAAATTTGGTCTCAAAAAAAAAAAAAAGAAGTCTGACACACTTATTAAAACAAAAAACATTACTTTCTGTGAGCTATTCTTTGTGTACAATGAGATGTTTTTGAAGCATTTTTCTTATCGGTGTAAATAGCACTCACATTTTTTTAACCACTGAGATGTTTTTGAGGCATTTTTCTTATCGGTGTAAATAGCACTCACATTTTTTTAACCACTGCGTAGTATTTTATATTCACATGTATCAACTAATATTTGAATTTCTTTAGTTGATGGTCATTTAGGTTGTTTCCATCCTGAATTCATCCATTGTTTGCTGCTACAGTACAGTCTTGTTAAGCTCTATCTGGTAGGAATGGGACATTTGCCAATCGGTGACACTTAGAAGTACACGGCTTACAAAGATTCTAAGGCAGAGTCTGGGTTCAATGGGAAGAAGCTCTAGGATTGATAAGCTATGTGGATCTCTGCTACAGGGAAAAGCGAATGGTGCTATTGACAACAAGCACCTGCTCTGCATCCTGTTTCTGCATTGTGTGGTGGGATGGGATCAGTGCAGCCCCCCGCCATTCTCCCTGTGGCCAGTGAGGCTGACATTTAGAATCATGACTCCAAAGGTTGTCTGACCTGCAGCCCGTGGTCAGCAGCCTCAACAAATCTTTACCTAGTACTGTGACTGTATTCCATTTATTAAGACAATAAGTAGGTTCTTATGAATTAAAAATTACTTGAAAAAAAGCTGAATAGCAGTAATAATTAGAGAAATGCAAATCAAAACCACAATGGGACACTATACACACAAGTCAGAATGGCTATTACTAAAGTCAAAAAAATAACACATGCTGGTGAGGTTGTGGAGAAAAGGAATGTTCATACACTGTTGGTGGGAGTGTAAATTAGTTAAACCGTTATGGAGAGCAGTGTGGTGATTCCTCAAAGAACTAAAAACGGAACTACCGTTTGACCCAGCAATCCTACTGCTAGATATATACCCAAGGGAATATAAGTCATTCTACCATAAAGATGCATGCACCTGTATGTTAATTGCAGCACTATTCACAATAGCAAAGAGGTGGAATCAACCTAAATGCCCATCAATGGTAGACTGGATAAAGAAAATGTGGTATATATACATGATGGAATATGGTACAGCCATCAAAAAGAATGAGATCATGGGGATCATGTCCTCTGAAGGAACACGGATGGAGCCGGAGGCTGTTATCCTTAGCAAACTGATACAGGAACAGAAGACCAAATACTGCATGCCCTCACTTATAAGTGGGATCTAAATAATGAGAAGTCATGGACACAAAGAAGGGAACAACACACACTGGTGCCTAATTGAGGATGGAGGGCGGGAGGAGGGAGAGGTTTAGGAAAGAAAAACAAACAACAACAACTATCGCATACTATGCTTGGTACCAGCATGATGAAGTTATCTGTGTACCAAACCCTCAAGTCATGAGTTTACCTGTATAACAAACCTACACTTGGGCCCCTGAACCTCAGATACAAGTTAAAATATTTTTAAAACTATTTTTGTTTGGCCTCTACTCCGTAAGACCATTTAGACACTGGCTGTGTTTTTCTTTCCCCCAAAGCAAGTGTGTTTGTGATTTGTTCGAAGGCACATAAAACCACACGGTCTGCCTGCCCTCGGCGGTGGATTTCCTGAATAAACTTCAGGCAGATGGCACTTTTATGTTCTCTTATAAACAAACCAGAATGACCAAAGTGTTCTGCAAGCGGTTCTTACCTCGGTTATATACAAATGGTTTCACAGCTGAAAGGAGTAATTGTAAAATGTCAAGGGGAATATATGCCCACTGGTACACCCTGCAAATGACCAGAAATAACCATCTTTGCCGGAGCAGGTTAAACACTGTGTACTTTCTAAATGTTCCTTTCTGCAGTTGCTCAGGAGTGGAAAGCTACACTTCTAATGTCCCCAGTGGAATTCAACTACCTACAGCAAAGTATTTACTACAGTTTATGAGACCTAATGATCATATTCATGGTGTTAATCTATTATGCCAATGTTCACCTAATAGGGTTTAGATGTTCTGTCATTTCTTAGCACATATTGGAATATAAAAACACAGAAAGATAGTAGCTGGAGAATGAACTGGAGGCAGCTAAGTGGACATGAAGACAGGCAAAAACCATGAAGATGGCAAGTCATATTGACCTGCCTGCATTCAGACAGACCTTTGCTGACATATATTTTCTCATGCTAAACAAGTTCAGGAAAGAAATTGGTGGTTGTTAGATGATGTCAGCCAGTAATAGATTCTGAGTATTTCTGTGTCAGGAATGGGACATGACACATTTTTAAGGACTGTAATCAATATCATTAATATTTATAATATGTTTTAAACAAAACCGCTACTGGTGGCATAGCCATTAAAGACTTGTTTTTGTAAATGACATTTTACTGGAGCATAGCCATGGCTGTACATTTGTGTGTTGTCTGTGGAGACTTGTGCCCTATAACAGCAGAGTTGAGTAGCTGAGACAGAGTCTGTAGGGTCACAAGTCTAAAATATTTAATCTCTGGCCTTTGCAGAAATAGTTCGCTCATTCCTGATAGAGTGTGTTCAACTACCTAGATTCAATTCTTACCCCTCATTTGCTAGCTCTGTGACCTTAGGAAAGCTACATCTATTTTGGAGTCTTGGTTTCCAAAACAGGTCAAATGATTCCTACCACAACACCTCATTCATGCACATTGAGACTTAAACATGGAAATACAAGCATAGCTAGCTTTTAGCATAATGTAGTAAGAATTGGGTAAAAGTTAGAAATTACTTTCATCATTAATTCTGTGTGCTTATAAAAGAGGGGTAAATGTCAAAATATTTCTCAGCAAAGGTGTCAGAGCTCCTCCCAGTTAGAATGGGCACCAACTGGAAGCTCATGGCACAGTTATGACCATGGCTCTGGCTGAGCCTCTGCCTTGCTGGGAGAGAGGGAGGGACGATTGCAGCACACTCTCATGCATAGTGTAATCTACAAACAGTTCACACACGGTGTAGTCTACGCACAGTTCACGCACAGTGTAGTCTACACACAGTTCACTCACAGTGTAGTCTACGCACAGTTCATGCATAGTGTAGTCTATGCATAGTTTTAATTTTACAAATTGTTAAGATGACAGTTTCAGTTGCAATTGTGCGTGCTTTATCCTTGTATAAATATTGTTGTTTTTGTTAGTTTATTTGTTTTTGTTTTTGAGATGGAGTCTCACTCTGTCGCCAAAGCTAGAGTGCAGTGATACCATCTAGGCTCACTGCAACCTCTGCCTCCCAGGTTCAGGCGATTCTCCTGTCTCAGCCTCCTGAGTACCTGGGATTACAGGCACAGGCCACATGCCTGGCTAATTTTTTTTTGTATTTTTAGTAGAGATAGGGTTTCCGTTGGCCAGGCTGATCTTGAACTCCCGAGCTCAAGTGATCTGCCTGCCTTGGCCTCCCGAAGTGCTAGGATTACAGGCATGAGCCCCTGTGCCAAGTCCGTATATTTATATTTTTATTGATCTTATTATTTTGCTGGATAATTTGCTGACAGATATATGATATAACCCACATTTTAGTTGTTATCATTCCTGTTTTCTAATATTGTTCATGGGAACTTCTGGCTCATCCTTCTCTCAAATTACCTGCTGGGCCACACTCTTTACCTTTACTCTTTTTTACCCAAGTTCCCCAGGACCACAGTTTCCTCATGAGTATGAAGAAATGAGGGCTCTTTCCTGGAGCTGTATCCAGTATCTAGTATCATGAACAATACATAGGACCTTAGCGAATGTATGGGCCTCCTTCAGCCAACAATTCACTTCTAGCCTTGTGGATAGATGGAGGCATATGTTGTGTGTGTGTGTGTGTGTGTGTGTGTTTTGTTTATTTTTTGCTTTTTGAGACAAAGTCTCATTCTGGAGTGCAGTGGTGTGATCCCAACTCAATGCAACCTCCACCTCCCAGATTCAAACAATTCTCGTGCCTCAGCCTCCTGAGTAGCTGGGATTACAGGCACTCACCACCACTCTCGGCTAATTTTTGTATTTTTGAAGAAACAGGGTTTCGCTATGTTGGCCAGGCTGGTATCGAGCTCCTGACCTCAATTGATCTTGCTCACCTTGGCCTCTCAAAGTGCTTGGCTTACAGGCGTGAGCCACCATGCCCGGCAGGCATATGTATTTTGAATTGGCAGTATTAGCATTTTAATTAACATAATGCTTATTATTTTTAAAAAGTCCAAACCGTGTACAAAGATGACAGCAAAAATCCCCCAAATCATAGGACCCTAAAACCCCTATTAGTAGATTAGTGGACTATTATTTCAGTCATTTAAGAACATTTCTATACAAGGAGGTTGATGTGAATCCACAGAAAGGACATAATATTCTACTAAAAAGTATACTCTGCAAAATATTCTTGATCAGAATGTACTAAATTTATGTGTGTTTATGTATAGCAGAGATAAGGGATCCAACATGAAACTGCTGGACTTAAATGTTAGCTAACTTGAGAGGTATTAGTATTTAAGGCATTCTGT